>NC_000002.12:19479452-19630967 GCF_000001405.40 Homo sapiens
CGGATCACTTGAGGTCAGGAGTTTGAGACCAGCCTGGCCAACACGGTGAAACCCCATCTCTACTAAAAATACAAAAATTAGCCTGGTGTGGTGGTGGGCGCCTGTAATCCTAGCTACTCGGGAGGCTGAGGCACAAGAATCGCTTGAACCAGGGAGGCAGAGGTTGCAGTGAGCTGAGATCACGTCACTGTACACCAGCCTGGGCAATAGAGTGAGACTCAGTTTCAATTAAAAAAAAAAAACAAAAACCCAACAACCACAACAAAAAACTAGGTATTTTTATTGCTTTGGGAAGGAGAAAATGCAGAAAATATAAGAATCAAATCTTGACTTATTTCTAAAATATTCTCCAGAAACTCAAAGCAGAGCATAATCTTGAGCGCCAAGGCTTTCATTGTGAGAGCCAAGTTTTTATGATAGAGAAAAGGTTTTTCTGAGTCAACTCAGATGGAATATGAAGATAAATCTTATACCATAAATAGTAGTGTTAGGAAGAAGGCAGATTTCTCTCAAAAAACTACATAAATTCAATCTGCTGGAGAAAGAAGAGAGTTGAGATGGAAAAGGGGGCAATATTTAGTAGTCACTGTGTAGGTCTCAGAGAAGGGACTCTGCTCCCATCTTCCTCTCTTGTAGAGCTAGGCCCAGCCCTAGAGAAGGTGATCTAAACGGTAGTCAGGTTTGGGATGGGGAGTGGGAATTCTTGGAAGACAGCACTGCATTCCGCCTCCTGTTGAGTAGGCTGAGTTTAGAGCCTCTCAGATGTGCCCTGCCCCTCAGTGCAATGAACTGGAAGAGGAAATTGGAATATCTAAGAAGAAAGGGATTGTGAGAGGGCATCCAAACATTTCTTATGTTCTTGAAGGTCCTGGATCAGAAGATGCCTGACAAGAGGCCACTATCAGCAGCAACAGCACAGTGGGGACAAACCTGAGACCTTGATGGACCGTGGACACCAGCAGGAGAGACAGAGGTCAGTGGTGATGTGAATTAGGTACACCCCATGGGGGACAACAAAGGGCAAGGATAGCTATGACAACTCCTGCCCTAATGTGCATACCCCAAAAATATTTAGATGATACTCTGGGATGACGAAGAGTGGGGGAAAAAACACTAATTGGGTTTAAATGTAAGCCTGCTCAGAAATAATATGAAAGTTCTTGTTAGGGAAAATGGAGCACCAGAGAGTGATGGTTTAGTACCAGAAAAATAAAGATGTCACAGTTTTGCACATTTGTGTTTCTATCAATGAAATTTGTAGACAATTCACACACAAAAGGTGATGGCTGGGAAGTGTGTGAACTACTGTGGGATACTGAGCCAGCAAGGGAACGCCAGATCCATTTCAGAAGCTGGGTCTGTCTTCAAAGGGTTTTGACTTGCTGACCTCTGGCTGGCTTGCATCCTCCTCTCGGAACACACCAGACAGACGAGTAAACACAGATCACCAGTGGGCCACATGTTCCCTTCTTCTTCCAAGTGCTCTGTGTCCGTGGGCCTCCCCCGCTCCAGGCTTTTCATCTAGGTCCTCTTGACTGATGCTCAGGCCCCACAGAAGTTTCCTCACTCCTCTCTCAGCCAAGCAAGGGTGTAGAAAATAATAACCAAGCTCATAAGAGATTTCCAATATTGGTGAAGATCTTCACCCCTAGCTTTTCTCAAATGCATGATCTACAATGCATGAAACCCTGACTTCATTCATTCCTTTGAACACAACCTTTCCCTCTCTGATTTCCTCCTGTAAATGCTGATGTTCCCCGGTAAATGCTGAAGTCCCTAACTCTCCTCTACGAGAAGTCATTATATTCTTTGACTCTGTGACACGGGTGACTTCAAGAAGCAGAAAACAGTAAGGTTAAAAAAAAAAAAGGTTGAGACCTTAAAAGAGGAAAGAAGGGTTCAGAAAGGGGTGTTTGGAGGAGCTGAAGAGAACTTTGTCCATCATCTTTCTTGAGGATAGATCCAAGTATGCAGTGAACCACCTTTGCATGCTGCTAAAATAAATGGCAGCAGGTCAAAGACAAAGAGGCCTTTCAGAGGACAGAAGGAAATGAATGTTGGAATAAATGCTTTCTGATACATTTACACAGTTCCAAGTTGGTTAAATTACACATCCATTGTTTTAGATAGTAGTTCAGAGATCTCCTTCTTAACAGTAAGTATTTTTTTAAAATGCTTTATTAAGGTATTATTGACCTATACTGTACATATTTAATATATATATTTTGATGAGTTTGTGGATATGTATACATCCATGAATCTATTACCACTGTCAAGGCCATCAACATATCCATCACCTCCCAAAGTTTCCTTCCATCCCATTTATTATTATTGTTGTTGCTGTCATTTAATTAATTTACTTATTTTTATGGTAAGATCTATTATCTTAGCAAATGTTAAGTCTACAATATTATATATGCTGTATAGATCTCCAGAAGTTATTCATCTTGCATTACTGAAAGTTTGTACCCTTTAACCAACACCTCCTCCTTTCTCCCTACCCATCCCCTAGCAACCACCATTCTACTCTCTGCTTCTATGAGTTTGACTGTTTTAGATTCCACATGTAAATGAGGTCATACAGCATTTGTCTGTGACTGGCTTACTTCACTTATGATAACACCCTCTAGGTCATCCATGTTATTGTAAATGGCAGGATTTCCTTTTTAAGGGCGAATGATATTCCATTGTGTGTGTGTGTGTGTGTGTGTGTGTGTGATATATATATGTCATATATATGTCATATGTGTGTCATATGTCGTGTGTGTCATGTCATATGTCACATGTGTGCCATATGTGTGTGTCATATATATATATATATATATATATATATATATATATGAGTTATATATATATCTCTCTCTCACAATTGTTTATCCATTCATCCACCACAGGACACTTACGTGTTTCTATATCTTGGCTATTGTGAATAATACTGCAATGAACACGGAAGCATAGATACCTCTTCAAGATCCTAATTTCAATTCTTTGGATCTATATTCAGAAGTGAGATTGCTGAATCATATGGTAGTTTTAGTTTTCAAGGAACCTCCATACTGTTTTCCGTGACGGCTATAAAAATTTACATTCCCATCAATAATGTGCAAGGATTCCCCTTTTTCCACATTCTCACCAGCACTTGTGCGTGTGTGTGTGTATATATAATATATATATTTGTGTATTGTATATATATTGTATATATACACTATTGTATATATAGTATATATATACAATTGTGTATATATACTATATATACATATACTATATATACTATATATACAATTGTATATATAGTATACATATATGTATATTTGTGTATTGTATATATATTGTCTGTGTATATATACAATTGTATATATAGTATATATGTATACATATATGCATACACACATATATGTATACACACATATACATATACACATATGTACACACACTTATACATATGCACACATGTATACATATACACATGTATACATATATACATATGTATACATGTATATGTATACGTATATATACATGTATGTATATGTATATATACATATATGTATATGTATATATACATATATACATATACATACATATATGTATATATGTGTATATACATATCTATGTGTACATACGTATATACACATATGTTTATATGTGTATATATGTATACATATATACTATATATACGATTGTATATATATACACAAAATATATATACGATTGTACATATATACACACAATATATATACGATTGTATATATATACACACCATATATATACAATAATATATATACAATTGTATATATAGTATATATACAATATACAATATTGTATATACAATTGTATATATATTGTATATATACAATATACTATATTGTATATATACAATTGTATATATATATACAAGTGCTGGTGAGAACATGGAAAATGGCTATTATATAATAGCCATACTAAAGGTGTGAGGTGATAACTCATTGTGGTTTTGATATGCATGTCCCTAATGATTAGTAATGTTGAGCCCCTTTTCATACACCTGTTGGTCATGTCTTCTTTGGAGAAATGTCTATTCAGGTTCTTTCCCTATTTTTAATTGAATTATTTTATTTTTGCCCTTTAGTTATAGAAATTCATTGTATACTTTAGTTATTGACCCTTTATCAGGTGTATGGTTTGCAAATATTTTCTCCCATTCCACAGATTGATTTTTCATTTTGTGGATTGCTTCCTTTGCTGTGAAGAAGCTGTTTAATTTGATGTAATCCTACTTGTTTATTTTTTGCTTCTGTTGTCTGTGCATTTGGTGTCATATTCAAAACATTATTGCCAGAACCAATGTCAAGAGACTTTTTCCCCATGTTTTCTTCTGGGAGTTTTATGGTTTCAGATTTTATGTTTAAGTCTTTAATCAATATTGAGTTGATTTTTGCGTATGGTGTAAAACAGGGTGCAATTTCATTTGTTTTCCTGTGGATAACCAATTTTCCCAACACCATTTATTGAAGAGACTATTTTTTCTCCTTGTGCATTCTTGATGCCCTGGTCAAAAATTAGTTGATCATATACGTGTGGGTTTATTTCTGGACCTTCTATTCTGTTCCATTGGTTTATGTGTCTATTTCTACGTCAGTACCATACTGGCTTGACTACTATAGCTTTATAATATAATTTGAAATCAGAAAGTGTGATGCCTCTAAGTTTTGTCCTTCTTACTTAGGATTGCTTTGGCTGTTCTGTTTGTGTGTGTGTGTGGTTCTATATAAATTTGTGGATTGTTTTTTATATCTGTGAAAAAAATGCCATTGGAATTTTGATAGAGATTGCATTGAATCATTAGACATCTTTTGGTAGTATGGACATTTTAACAATATTATTTCTTCTAATTTATGAACATGGGATATATTTTCATTTATTTGTCTCTAATTTGTTTTATTGGTGCTTTATAGTTTTCAGTGTACAGATCTTTCACCCCTTGGTTAAATTTATATCTAAGGCTTTTTTGATGCTATTTTAAATGAGATTTGTTTTTTAATGTCCTTTTTGGATTTTTTTTGTTAGTGGACAGAAACACACTGTTTTTGTATGTTGATTTTATATCCTGCAACTTTACTCAATTTGTTTTTTATTTCTAACAGTTTTTTTTGTGGGGGTGAGTTTCTCAGCATTTGGCTATTTAGCTGAAGCTTAAACTCTTCTGCAAATAAAAAAATGATGCCCTTACACCAATGTAGTCTAGAAGCTAACAAATAACTTTTGTAAGTATCTTACCTCATTCTTTCTGGTTCACAGCCCAATAAAGGAAGCAAGGTATTCCAGGTTGAACCTCCAGAAATTCACTCTTGAT
Organism: Homo sapiens; assembly: GCF_000001405.40. Lineage (NCBI taxonomy): Eukaryota > Metazoa > Chordata > Mammalia > Primates > Hominidae > Homo > Homo sapiens. The sequence goes on from NC_000002.12 coordinate 19,484,782, forward strand.
TTATATTTATGGCAGAGAAAGAGAGGGTAGGGAGAGTAAAAGGGATCCCTGGAAAGTTTCTAGGAGTAACATCAGATATGATGGTGGAAGCTACTCACATGAGTTCCCCAGGGGCTGAAAGTAGCTGATGGAGAAAGCTTGGCCTCCTTTGCGATAGCATCCTCAGAGACTGTTTCAGTTCTCCTTTCACACCTGGCATGTATTTATATGGTACCAGAGAAGGGATTTTTATTTTAAATTATGCATGTGGATTTGCACCTTTATTCTATCAGAATCAAACTGTTATTCCACAACACTCCATAAAGTTAATGATACAATGTGACTAGAACTCTTTCCTGAAATATGACATTCTTCAGGGACCTTGAAAGTATTAAAGGGAGTGGATGCCAAGGCCAAATCATACCCCTGGAGCCACATAGAAGTTCCACAAGTACTTATATACCAGTGACATATATATTCCTTAGTTTCTGTGAATTCAATCAGAAGGTTTATATGAAAAGTTTCTGAAAAACCAGAGGTACAATGGCAAGGGGTCTGGGAGCCACCCTGACCTAGGCAGAGCAGTCCAAATCCATACTTGACTGTAGGTAACTAATGACCTGGTCAAAGCAGAGAGAAGAAGTGAAGATTTCAAGTTAGAAAGGAAATTAAACTTCCACCACTGTGATTTCATAATGTGACAAAATTAGAAAATTAGAAAATCTATTTTGTGTTCATCTCATTGAATATTTATAAGTCACCATTAATATCAATTTTAAAAATGTTTTGCATTTTTTGACCTAGTGTAAGAGATCTAAAAAATAATTCAAAGGTTTTTACACCACAGATTTTTATTTTTATTTCCCAGATATAATTTGCATTTAGTCTGATTATGATACAATTGAGTCCATTTGGAGCATAATATTCTCCATAGAAAGAGTAAATACATTTATATCCACCTGTGCATGTATGTAGGATATTTTGGAAAAAGGCATTGAAATAGGATTCTAAAGGCCAGACAGGGTCTACCACTTACATGGCATGCTAGATAGTCTCTGTGGCCTTGGCTAAGTTATCTAGCCTCACAGGGCCTATTTATTCATTTATAAAATAGGCATAATCCACTCTTTCAGAATTATTATGAGTAGTAAATGAGACAACAAATAAGGAGTAATTCATTTTTAAATATTCATTTATTTTATATATTGATAATATACAGACATAGATCCTGGTGGTTGCTGTGGCTTTGAGACAAGGTCACACTCTGTCACCCAGGCTGGAGTACAGCAGCTTGAATGTGGCTCACTGCAGCTGTGCTCAGTGAATTCAATCAGAAGGTGTATATGCAAAGTCCCTGAGAAATCAGAGGTACCATGGCAAAGGGTCTAGGAGCCCCCAAAGGCCCATTTTGGCCTCCCAAAGTGCTGGAATGACAGGCATGAGCCACCGTGTCAGGCCTTATATCTTGTTTTCGTATCTTATAATTTTTAAGTATCTGAGTTCTTCAGAGCTGGGATAGATTATATGTGATTCAGTCGCTCAAATTTTTGGGGGGTGCCTATGGCAAATAAGCTCTTAGCACCCAGCAAAAGTTTGTCACATCGAATCCTTACTTAATAAATATTTCTAAAGGTCTATCTGCACTCTCTAAAACAGCACTTTCTGTGATGACGGAAATGTTCTATATTTTCACTGACCAAAATGGTAGCCACTGTTTTAAATACCATTCTCAGAGCTAATGTTTCCCTAGTATCTTTTACCACTAAGAAAATGCGGTGTCTCTCTACAGTGGCTACCATCCCCATAAAGAGGTAAGTATGTTATAAAGGAAAGCATACCAAGGCATTATAAACATGCAGTGCAACCCCCAGTGGCGGACTCTCACTCCCAAAGAGGAATCTTGAGAAGACCACTTAACCAAAAAGAATGAAAGGCCATGGTGAAATTTCCAGAACCAAAGCAGGAACATGGTGTTAGGGAGTGGATCTTCTCAACGGATTTCCTATAGACCACTGCCCTCCCTACCACATGTAGCTCTATAATCTCTCTCGCTACCTATTCCTCCCAGTTACCACTCACCCAATGTCCTGGTTATACAGATCAGGAGAAGCACCACCATGGCAAAGATCAGGGCCACACTGAAGGTGGGAATCTTTTCAAAGAAGAGCAAAGATTGCAGTAGCCACAGAATATGCCAGGTTGTGTGCGTGTGTTTGTTTTTCTTCCTTTTTTTTTTAAACAGCTCTATAATTCCAGCATTGAACTTGAGCATGATCATTATTTCCTCCTCTCCTCATCTCACAATATATCCATACCAGCACAACCAAGACTCTCAATGTCAACACTGTTTGCTTTCCTTGTGGAGCAAGACACGTTCAGTCCCATGCTATCACACATTTAGAGCAGATGTTCCTAAAAAGGATAAACCAGGTGCTTAACATATTTTATTCCAAGGGGTAATTTTAGAAATTATTGCAATCAATGAGCTAATAATAATGGTGGTAATGATGAGGCCAAGTTATTATTACTTATTACCTTTAATCATCGACAGCAACTCAATTGGACATAATTAGAGACATCATCATAAATAACGTGGAGCAGATGGAAGATGCCGGGCTTTTCATTTCGAGGACTGAGTAGGAAGGTTAATGATGGAAGAATGGGCATAAAGAATGGGGCGTTTATATCACAAATCCATCCTGCACTTGAACCTTTCCTGTCTGAAACCCATACAAACAGCTGAATTAGACAGAAGGTATAAGCAGCCAACCCTGCACTTTCAATGTCCACTCACTCACTTTGCAACAGCCTTCTGCCCATCACTCATTGCCAGACCCCAGTTCTGCCCCATTTCTATCCATGTGGGTTAAGCAGTGGCCTTCTTTCTTTCTTTCTTTCTTTTTTTCAATTTCAATGGCAAAAGGGAAATAGAGCAATAGTCTTTCCTGATCTTCCCCCAATCTCTCTTTGAAAACATGCAAATGCTTTAGTTAGCCATTTAGTATTAACTTAAAATTTGGCATGAAATGCAGTAAGAAACATTACATGACCTCCGCACATTAACTTAGTAAAACAACTATTTCCTATGTATGGCAACTGTAGTACAGGTGCAGAGGAGTACACCCACAAGTAAGACACAGTTAGGTGTTCAAGTGGGATAACAAATTGATGTCGAAAAGGAAACCTGGGCTGTGAAGTTGTATACTTGGGGTTTAAATCCTGCAACTGCCATGTACTGAACCATTATACTGGGCAAGTTATTTTTCTTTCCGGAGCCTCTGTTCTATTGATTGTAAGTGGCTAGCTTGTTAGCAGTGCCCTCTCTGTGGACCAAGATACCCTTGTCTTTTTCTCCATAAAAGAACCCTTCTCACCAGACTTCAGCTGTGGTAATTGTCCTGTCTCACCCATAGATTTGGAGAAGGTACTGCAATGGATTATTCCTTTCTCTGCCTCTGGTACCTGGCACATACTAAGTACTCAACAAATGTTAGAGTAGATGTTTCTAGAAAGGATAAACCAGATGCTTAACATATTTAATTCCAAGGGGTAATTTTAGAAATTATTGTAATCAATGAGCTAATAATATGTTTTCATGTCCCTAAAGGAACTTGAAGTCTAAATGGGCAGACAAGACCAACATACACAAAGCAGAGAGTGGCACAAGAGCCATGTCTGATGCAACAGTGACTCAGGAGGATCACTCTGACTCAGAATGGCCAAGCAAAGGTATTGGGAGGAAGTGGGATAGAACTGAGCTTTGAAGACCGTGCTAAAATATTTACAGACTCCCCAGGTTATCTCAAGTTCTCTCCAGGAATTAGCTTCACCTCTTTGTGCTTTGGCTCCACATCAGTTAAATAGTGGTAACGTTTGATCGTTAAGAACCATGTAGAGATGAAACAATTTTCAAAGTTTTTTAATTAAGTGTACTCATTGCCACTCAAAGACAAATACCATATAAATATAATAATAATCATATTGAGAAACAAAATAGCAATGATGCAGATACTCATGTACTGTTTCATGTTTGTGGTCTTTGAGGGGAGTTTTTACTCAAATATCCCTAGATGAATAAATACATATGGTCTATAAATATGTCCCAAAGCAATTTTCTCCACTTGAACCTACATATACTTCACTATAGAACTGAAAACAAATTTATTTAAAACTTCTTTTATGTGGTTGTCTGTTGAAAAAAAAATCAGAACTCTCATTAAAGCCAATAAGAATTTGGTATAAAAAATTAATAGCAGGATATGAGCTTATAGAATCTTATCAATAATATCTTTATGATTCATTGGTCTCTTTGTGATGTGCCAAACATAACCAGGATTTATTGATGAATATGATATTTGGGGGTATAAAAACTTTATATATGTTTTTCTTTACTCAATTAGTGAATCTTGTCTAAATTAATATTGTCATGAGATTTCATTTAGCAATGGCCAGGTATCATGGCCAAATAGATACTTTGACTTGAATTATCTGCCTAAATGTTCTAATTCTCCACTTTACTTCACGAAACTGAGGAAATTCAGCTGTAATAAAAATCTTAAATTTGAAAAAAAAATAAGTGTTTTGTACAAAGTTCTAGGAGTGAGACGTGCAAGGGGATAAAAATATGAATAAGAAAGTCCTAGTACTAAGATTACATCTTAGTTGATAAATGCATTGGAAGAAAGAGAAAACTATTAAGCCAATACAAAGCACCAAAGAAATACGTGAAATAAGGGAGATAAACTCATGTTCCTATGAAATCTCCAAGAAGGGAGAGATTCTATTCGGTCAGGGAGATGACAAAGGAGCGTGGATTGGTGGGCCCCTGGGAGGCTTTGGACGAGAAGGGTTGGAAGCGTTGTCACTGCAGAGCGAAGAGCCTGAGAAATGACAGGGAATCAGGAAAACACAGAGAAAGCAACGAGCATTCCTCCACTTCTTCTCCCAGCAGAGGAACACTGAGAAGTGGAATTGGAAAGATGGACCGGACCCAAATTCTTAAGGGTGTTGAATATCAGGCTAAATACTTTCAGCTTAATTTGGTTAAGTCATGAGAAACCACTGAAGGTTTTGTTTTGTTTTGTTTTCAAGCAAGTTAGTGGCCTACATTAATTTATTATTTATCATTATTCAACCTTTTACATTGAAATTGCTCCCCAATCCTTATCAATTCCCCCTTGGACTCTTACTACAGCACTTTTTCCCTAGTACCCCATGTCAGTGCTGCCTCCAAACAGCACAGCCCCCACCAGGCTTGCTGTCTCCTTCCCAGCCCACAAGACATGAGTCTTAATTAGAAATATGATTGCATGGTTCCGTAGCTTAAAATCCATCAATAAAATCCTCTCTCCCATAGAAGAATGTCCAAGGCTTTAGTATGGTATATCAGGATTGTCATCTTTAAAATTTTACCTATCTGCCTACCAGGTAACCCCCTCAACACACATCCCCTGTGGTCCCTGTGCTTTGACCTGGAATTCCTCACTGTTGCATTAAATGTCATGATTTCTCACACCCCCATACCTGTGTGTGAGTAGTCTCCTTGTCTGCCTGGAAAAATATTATTCAGCCTTGGAAATTCAGCTCAAATGTCACCTCCTCCATGAAGCCTTCCCTGATAATCCCTAGCCTTGCCCCCTCCCTCCATTGAGTTAATACCCTCTCTTCTTCTCCATAGCTCCATTTGACTCCACTTGTCACTGTTTTGTGTGTCCATTTATATTACCATCTTCCGGCTACATTGGGCAGCACCGTTTCTTATTGCTCTCTGTAGCCTTAATGCTGGCACTCATTACATAACAGTTAGATAAACTAATTCATATATTTTTATCACACCAACTTCCTGAAACTATCTAAGGCAGTTGAGAGGAAAGAGCTTTAGAAAAATGAACATGACAGTGATGTATTAGGTAAATTGGATGAGAGACTGCAGGCTTGGAAGGAGGGGGAGAATATGATGGATTCTGCTTTGAACATGGAAAATATGCCTTTGGCGTCCACTGCAATCAGGATCTGCTTCTGAGGCTACAAATGATTCTGATTAGACAGGAATGGAGAATTAAGTCGTCCTTTTCACTTTCCAGGCCTAACACGCCCATCTCTTTTGATAACTTCCTCCAAGATGACTCTGAATTTCTTTAGTCCTGTCTCTCTTATCCAAATATTTCCTGAACAAGAACTCAAATTGGGCAAGTTTTCAGATCCTGTATCTGAATGTGTGTGAGCTCAGGGAGAAGGAAACAAAGTGATTTGCAACCTGGCGCTGGAAGGAGACCGACTGTCAGGGGGCCAGGGATTGTTTTTGTTATTTCTGTCTTGCTCTAAACCATGTCTGTTTATTGTTATTGTCTTGTCCCCTTACTGATGTTCAATCCGTTTCCTCATCACAAGTGTGAAAGGAAACCTGGCAAAAAGTTACCCGAGCAAGAGTTCCGAATCAATAATAGATTCATCCTGAGGTACAGCACGACATCTGTTAGATATTTGGAGCCGCTGTCCATCCTGCCTGGAGGGGTGCTTAAGCAGTCAGGCTCCTTTCTCCCTGGAAGACTATAAAACACAGAGAGTTAAGAAGTGGCAGGAAAGTGCTAGTGATGCCTGCTTAAAAGAGCAAGTGCTATAACTTGTAGGATGAACATGTTTCAAGAGAGAAGATTGGTGTTCAATTTTAGCATATGTTCTTGAACCCATATTTACACAGAATTTGAGTTGTACGAGCAAAGTAACATGTATGAAACAAAAACTAGTTATGTAATGGAATTGTTCCTTTGCACGAGAAATTTGTATATGTGTGTCTTAAGAATTTTGGCTTGTCCTTTTTTACTGCAAGCTTTAAAAATACCATATTAAACGAATTTTCAAAACCTTCACAGAAACTCTTATTGCTTCTAGCCACAGTTGACCTGGTAGAGATTCCAATGAATTATCAGAATCTTTTTTTTCTCTTGTAATATTGAAGCTTTCAATGAGAAAATCAACACCAGAGAGAGAGAAGAGAAATTGAAGAGAAACAGAAGAGGGAGGGGAAGGGGAGGGAGGATACTACTAGATAAATGAGATATCATACCGGAAAAGGAGATAGAGAAGTGGAAAGACAGCATAGGGGAGGAATAAAGAATGAAAAAGATAAGCAGATAAAAAGTGGCCTTAGTTAAGAAAAAACTACGCATTATAAAATCCTCTTTAACTCCATGGTGAAAGAAAACTTTAAAGCAAGGCTGCACAGTTGCAACAAAACAACCCTTTAAAAAAAATCCCACTTAGAAATTCAAAGAGGTTATCAAAGTAGATTAGCAAACTATATACTTGGAACAACAATTTCACAATCAAAACCAAACTTAGTACTATGAAGGGAGTCTGAGAAAAGACAGATGTAGGAAGAGAAAAGAAAAAATTGGGAGAAAGAACGATAGAAGGGTAGAGAGCAAGGGAAAGCCAGAAACGAAACAAAAGCTGGGATATTTGTTTTATGAAGTATTAATAACTCACGAAGGGTTATTTGTCATTGCTGAATTCGGAAATTTATTATCCTATATTAACAAGAGACCAAAATGTCTAGAGTCATTGGCTTGGAGTGTTTTTAAAATGCACCTTCATGCAGACAGTGACCCAAGTTAAAAGGCGGCCCTCATTGTGAAGGGGACGTGGATAGGGCCCTAAATCAGCCAGTTACTACCCTCACAACCCTGCTAAGGGCCAGAGAGCTCCTCTGGGGGTGCAGGGAGACTTTGAAGTCCAGAAAAGTTTTGGATGGGAAAAGAGGAGTGGCTATGGAAAAGAGAATGAGAATTTATTATCAGGACCTTTGGGGGGTTTCATATAAAAGCCCTAAATTAACTTAATACTTAACGAAAATCTGTGCTGTCACCCACTGTCTTGACTTTATTGCTTTCGTGTTTGCTGAGCCCTTTACATATCATGCTGGATTAATCTCTGATCTTTGCAATTTCATTAAAATAACACAGGGGAAAATTTTATGCTCAAACTTCAGGATGAGACTTAAGAAAGCAGGAAAGTGGGCATAATCACCCACTTTCCATCTAGCTAAGAGACAGGAAGCATGCAAACATATGAGAATTTTGTGAATCATCTAGAACATCCCCCATTAAGGAGGCTCACTTCCTTCAGAGATGCCTCCTTCCAAATCCTCCTCCTTGAGTCTTGGAGCCCAGGTGAACTCCCTGCCCTGCAATGTACCCACCACTTACCTCAGCAGCCATGCCCGCATGCACTCCACTGGCCCACTGAGTTGCTCTCCAGGTGAACTCCTCCATCGGCTCACAGTCTCATTCTCCCTTTCTTGGGAAGCCTTTCTGACCTCCCAGGTGTTGTTAGGGATCCCCTTCCCTGGGTCCCCAGAATACCCTCCCCATCCCTTCTCACAGCACATGTCCACGGCATCACACCTGCCTGTTTACCTGCCTCTCCCCAACTATAAAGCTCTTGAAGACGGTAATATGAATCCTCTTTTGCTATCTCTGCAGCACCCAGCACAGTGTCTGGCTCTCAAAATACTTTTTGAATTAATACATGAATGGGAGTTAAAATCATATCTTAACTCTAAGGTCTAATTTTTTTTCTGATTTACCATTCTGCTCAAGGCCAGTGTGGTCCAAATAGGAGTACTGTTCAAAGAGGCAGATTCCTGGACCTCAGACTCCTCCCTGTGATCTTCTTAAGCTCTAACGCGTTAGTCATACCCAGCTCTAGGAGTAAAAAATAATATTTACCTTTAAGAGATCTATAAGCTTTTCCTTCATTGGGGAGCATAAAAATTATTGTGCTTGGCACAGGGGAGAGAATGGTGAAAATGGCAGAAAAGAAGGTTCTGGCCCTTTGGGGAGCTTACCTTCCAGCAGGTTGACAAACGTTAAACCAAAAATTAGACAGGTGCTATGAGAGTGTGGAGCAAGAGGCCCCTGCCTAGCCTTCCTGAATAAGAGCAGTTTGAGCCAAATATTGGGAAATTCACAGAAATTAGCAAGGCAAAAAAGAAAAAAGCGAGAGGAAGTTTGGGAAGAGAGAAGGGGCAAGTCTGTGCAAAGGCCCAGAGGCAGGAAGGAGTAGGGCATGTTTAAAGAACTGAAGGAAGGTCAGTAGGACTGAAGTCCAGAGAGAGGGGAAGAGAATGGCATGAGGCTGAAGATGAAGACTGAAAGAATATGTGCCTGGGCAACGCATGACCCCCATTACCTTAGGGTATTCACAGTTAATAACTTTTCTTGTGTTTATTTAAGAAGAGTATAGATACAGTAACTTCTTTATTTTCAATAGTACAGCAGACCATAACTGATAGACTTTCATTTATTTAAGGCCATATGCTGGGTTTTGTTTTTGTTTTCACTATTACAAAAAGTGCTACAATGATCTTTCTTGTCCACAATGGTATGTTCTTAAGTAGTTGGCTAAATTTAACTAGAAGACAGAAAATCACTGGGGGAAAAAATCAGTAGAAACACATAAATAATCAATAAGCTAATATTAAAGGAGGGAAGATGACTTTTATGAGATGAATGACTTAGAACTATTTAGGATTTACGAATGATGTGAATCTATACTACCGTTCAGACTGGTGCTTATTATATTCTGAATCATATTTCTGGCCCTAGCCCAGAGGAGGGATTCAAAGTACAGGTCTCCATCTCTGGCCCCAGAGATAGCACAGCCCTTTACCTAGATCGGGTAATATTGCATGATGGGTGAAAATTCCTACTCTGAAGTCCAGAGGGTCACTTTTATTCCTGGCTTTGCCATTTACTAGCTGTATGGCTTGAAGTGAGCTTCCTAAGCTTCAGTCTCCCCATTTACAAAAGAGGAGATAAAAATATTACCTACCACTGTAGGGTCATGGTGAGGATTAAATGAGATGATGTCGGTGAGGCTCATAGCAACTGCCTAACATGGGAAGCTCTCAGTAAATGATAGGTACTATTGTTGTTGTTAACAAAGTCAAGAGAAGATAGTATGTAATAATAGTTTTCATTTCTGTAAAGTTTTCCATGATGCAGATCCTGACCTCAGCATTTTACCTGTATTAACCCATTTAATCTAACAATCATTCTATAGGTAGGTGCTATGACTACATTTTTATAAATGAGGAAACTGAGGTCAACAAGAGCAATTGAGAGCTCCTTCATAACAGAGCCAGAGAATGAAACCTAGGCAGTCTTATTACACTGATGGGCCAGAAATATCCACAATGCCAGAACCACGTAATGTTGCAGCTGGAGGACAACACAGAAAAAATCTAGTAAATCTCAATTTATAAATGAGAAAGTTGAGGCCCAGATCATTAAAATGACCTGCTTTTCGGTCACACACACTTAATCTGAGAAAGTCCATGATCATTAAGAACTTATACCTGTAATCCCAGCACTTTGGGAGGCCGAGACATGCGGATCACGAGGTCAGGAGTTCAAGACCAGCCTAGCCAACATGGTGAAACTCTATCTTTACTAAAAATACAAAAATTAGCCGGGCGTAGTAGTATGCGCCTGTAATCCCAGCTACTCAGGAGGCTGAGGCAGAAGAATTGCGTAAGCCCGGGAGGTGGAGGAGGTTGCAGTGAGCCAAGATTGTACCACTGCACTCCAGCCTGGGTGACAGAGTGAGACTCCATCTCAAAAAATAATAATAATATTTTGGAGTTGTAGCTGACAAATGAACTTTCATTTAGATCAAAGGCTTTATGACTCTTAGACATTAATTAGCTCTTATACAATGCTGTTGTATCATTTAAATGTATGCTAATCCCATGGATTTGATTTTCCTTTAAGTGTTCTTAAATTTAGAAATGAAGGAAATAGAGGAGAAGAGTCCTGCAAAAGAAGGTTTGAGTTTTTTCAAATTCAAAAGAATTTTTTTTTAAGTTTCAAATATTTGGCAACAACTGGCAAAATCAGCTCTTCTCGCCTTATGCCCTGGGCTTGTTAATGTCACTTTGAACTGGACTCTTTTGTCTTTACTGTGCTTGGGCTCTACATTGTAAGCAATGAATTTCTTTTGTTTGTAAGTAAAGTATAAGCTACCAAATAAATCTCCCCATTCCAAACTCTGATAAGCAGTTTATTTTTTGCCCAGTTTATAATTATCTCTGGAAACTGCTTCCAATAAACTCAAAAGAGTAGCTCTAATGGAGAGTGAAAGTCCATGAACTAATACATAAAGCCATGTGTTCTGGGATGAATGACAGAGAAGTAAAAGTTAAGAGAATTCTAATTTACACACTCCCCCAACATGCCGTGTGACCTATTCAAGTCCTTTAACCTATCTGGATTTTGGTTTCCTGATCTATGAATGTGGCACTAAGGATTATCCTACTCACATGTAAATTACTGTGAAAATTAAGAAAATTGATGCAAAAATATCTTGCAATATTTAAGCACATTAAGAGTGTGATATTACAGGAACCTCCTGAACCATGTTTCCTTCCGTTCTTCCCCTGGCTCAGCCTTCTCATCCTTTAAAATGCCACTCAAGTATCATCTCCTATTGCCAAAAAGTCTTCTCTGAAGCTTCTGTTCTCACACATAGCACATCACTCAATAAATATCTGGTCATATATCTGCCTTTGCCATCAGAACACAAGCTTTGCAAGATGAAGAACCTAGTCTTATATCTTATCCATTGGTTTTCGTTTGGGGTCACCAAAGGTTTTTTGAGCACCTACTCAACACTCATAGGTCTCAAAGGCTGAAAATTAAATGCCTAAAACTCAGTCCCTGATGTTAAAGAATTTATGGTTAATTGGGTAGAGCAAAAGCAGAAGACAATCACAGCATAATGTTGCAAATCCAGACCTGAATGGGGCACCTTGGGAGTAGAATGGACCCAACTCTGCCTGTATTGCAGGCTGTAAGACATTCTTCTCCAGGACCTGGGGAAGGCATGCTCTAACTTTCACTCATTCACTTTCAACGGGGTTTCTAAAAGATATCAGCATCAGACCTAATCTCGTCCTTCAGAAGGAAGTTTTCTATCACCACCCACCAAGTACAAGTGATGTCCTCCAGGTATTTCCCACAAATTCCGGTGACCAAATAACTTTGGCACTGTTGACCACACACCCAGGTGGTGCTACATATATAGGCCTCGTAACAGCAGCTAATGAATCATTCCCTTTGGTTACATAAAAAGCAAAGCCAAAGTCGCCTCTGGCACCCACTTTGAGTTAGCTCAAGAGCAGCCCCATGTTAAAGTCTTAGCTACTTCAGCTGGTGTTTCTTTGCAAATTCACATTTAGAAATAATAGTCTTCCCTTAATTCTGCAGAATGATTTACATTTTACAAAATGCCTTCACATCCATCATCCTATCTGATTCTAACAACCACTCACTGCAATGAATACACCAGGAGTTATTTTATGGATGAGGAAACTGAGACTAGGTAACTCAGACTAAAGCCCAAGTCTCCTGATTCCTATTCTAGTCATCTCAAACTGCACAACACTGCAGCACAATTGCAGAGGAGACACTCAGTGCTTCTATTACCCCTATTTTTCATGAGTTAGTCAAGTCAGCCAATGTTACCTTAGACCGGATCATCATCGAAGCACAGAGCTGGGTGAGGAAGGGAAGAGCAGAGCTGCCCTGACTCTCAGAAACACTTGGCTGGTAAGAGAAACAAAATAAGTGTGCAATCAACTACACGAAAAAATCAAGTGAAGTGTGTGACATGAAAACACCTGATTTGGGGTCCCAACCGTTCTATAGTTCAGTTCTGTGTCTGGATTTACAAGACCTGTTGTGGTTTAGTGACTCATAGCTGATGGGGCCTTAAACCTCTTATAATCCCCTTATGTTATTAATACAAATGCAGAAGCAAAGCCAATAAGGAAAATGACTTTCCCATTGCCCCAAAACTAGTTAATGGCAAATGTAAGATTAGAACACAAAACGCAGAACCTCACCACTCCCCAAAAGACCATTATCAAAGATTGTTTTACAACCCTGGGATGTTTGCATCCTGGCTTGTGTTTCCCTATATATAGTGTGAAGGACGTTGAAAGAAGAGTAACAGGACCCAAACCTCTTAATAAATGGATATTTCAATGTATTCTCAATATTTAGCTACTCAGTGGAATTATTTTCTGATTCATCTATGTTGTCTTATGTTTCAGTGATTCCTTCTTTATTGCTGAGAATTATTCCATTAATAGATATAACACAATTTGCTTATCCATTAACCTAGTTATGGACATTTGGTTGTTTCTAGTTTTTGAATTTTGTAAATTATTCAATTATATTTCCTTCGTTAGCTTATTAGCTATAACTTTTTTGTCTTTTTCATTTCAGTGGTTGCTTGAGGGTTCAAAGCATACATATTAACTTATTACACTCTACCTTCAAGAGATATTATACCATTTCATGTATAGTAAGAGGACTTTATAATAGTTTACTTCCATTTCTTCCTTCTTGGCCTTTGTGCTATTGTCATACATTTTACTTTTATACCTATTATAAACATCACACTATGTTGTTATTATTTTTAAGCAGTCAAGAATTATTTAAAGAGATTTAGATAATAGGAAAAAATCTTATGTGGTTACCATTTTATGGGCTATTCATTCTTTTGTGTAGACTTCCCTTTCTATCTAGTACCATTTATCTTAGGTCTGAAGAATTTTGTCAAATGTGTCTTGTAGTGCAGGTCCACTGTGATTAAGTGTTTCAGGTTTTGCATATTTGAAAAAGTCTTTTTTTGGGGGGGTTATTTTTTAAAGATATTTTTACTAGATATATAAGTCTAGGTTAACAGGTAGTTTGGGGTTTTGTTTTGGTTTGTCTTTATGTTGTTCCACTGTCTTCTAGCTGATGAAGACAAGTTTCTGATAAAAAATCTGTCTAGTCTTTCTTCCTATGTGTCTTCTGGCTGCTTTTAAGATTTTTTTTCTTAATCACTGCTTTTGAACTATGCTATTATAATATTTCTCAAGCTTGGGGTTTATTGAAATCTTAAATAAATGGCTTTAGAGTTTCTATTACATTTGGGAAGTATTCAGCCATGATTGCTTCAAATACTTCTGTCTCCTTTCTACTTCATAGCTCCAATTACACAGATGCTCACTTCTTTGGAGTTTTCCTACAACTCACTGATACTTCATTTTACTTTTAGCCTTTTTTTTCTATTTAATTTTGGATCATTTCTGTTGTTATGTCTTCATGTTCACTATCTAGTCTTCTGTAACATCTAATCTGCAGTTAGCTTAATACAGTGTATTTTTGCCATAGCCATTATAATTTTAACTTCTGAAAGGCTGATTTGGATCTTCATTTTATAATTTGCATGCCTATTGAGTATAGATGCAGTTATAATAATTTATTTTATGTCTTTTGCTGGTAATTCTAAGGTCTGTGTCAGTCTGGGTCCATTTCAATTGATTTATGTTTCTCCTCGTTATGAGTTCTATTTTCCTAGTTTGTTGTTGTTGTTGTTGCATGCCTGGTACATTTTCATTAGATGCCACACAGTGCATTTTGCTTCGTTAGGTGATGGATATTATCATATTTCTATAAACATTCTTGATTATTGTTCTGAAACAAAATTAGTTTATTTGTCGGCCTCATGATTCTTTCAGACCTTGCTTTTGAGACTCATTAGGTGGGACGAGAGCTGGATCTAGCTTCAGGCTATTAATTCCCACAACTGAGACAAGAATTTTTTGAGAGTTCTAGTCAATCCCCTGTGAGTTAAGAGGTTTTTCCAGTTTTGCTGAGGGGGAACAGACTCAGTACTCTGCTGCATATTCAAGAAGGACCCTCTGCAAATCTCTGCATTATCTCTTCATCAGGTTCTCCCTTCTTTGGTATTCTACTCTGTGAACTCTAGCAGCCTTGGCATCTCAGCTCTGTCTCTTCAACTCAGGGAGACCAATGGGTACTGCCTGGGTCGCCTCTCCCTGCACTGTGGCTACTTATAAGGCTCACATCATTTGTTTATTATATCTCAGAGATTATTGCCCTTCATTATCTGATTTCCAATTTCTTAAAAATCATTATTTCATCTATTTATGTAATTTTTATTTTTTAGTTGTTTCAAGTGGAATGGTAAATCTAGTCTGTTATTTCACCTTAACCAGAAGCAGATGACCCCTGGTACAGTTTTGAGGCTATTATTTTCTTTCTTTTTTTATCAATTCAGTGTTGAAAATCTTAGTTTATACAAGATGATATAAACTTTGTGAGTGGCAATTCATTGTGAATGGCAATTATAGATATACACTTTTTCTACTTAGCAATAGAAATTTTCGTATAATCTTAATCCAAAACAATGGTAAACTCTATTGTATAAATATTCTTTGGTGTAAGGAAGAGCTTAGATATAATGATTTATTTTATTTTTCGTGGATCAAGTTTAAATAAATAATTAATTCAAGGTTTGCATAGAAAACTTTCTTCTTCAATGTTTCAAATTTCCCTTCTGGAAAGTAGTGATTGAAAGTTTGAAACAAAGAAGTGAAATGTAACAATATCTCTGAATTTATTTTATTCAAACTGGCTTCATTAATAGCATTCTTTTCAATATGTTATAGCAATGTTGGGAAAACATAGCAACTAGGGTGACTATTTTTGAGTCTTGCTTGCCATAACAACATTTTTTGGAACCTCTTAACTTGTTGAAATATAGCATTGGTTTTCCCTGTAGTTTTAAATTATATTTGTTAAGATTGCTTAAAATATCAGTTAAGTAGCCAATTTTATTACCCATATAACATCTTTAAAAATATTTTCCAAGTGAGATTTCTTTACAACTGAAAATGTGAATCTCATTTGTGAGTTTCTATGCCCTGTTTAATACTTTCTCTTCCAAAAACCAAAGAACTTTAGAATTGTGTAGTAAATAGAAACAGTTTACAACAATCTCTGAACAAAATATTTCCACAATCTAGTTATTTGGTAAAATTCCTTTAAGATTAAATTTTAAAGAAACTAAAATCATTAAATTAAAAATTATTTCATGTATTTTTAAATATATTCATGACAATCACAGAATTTTGAAGAATTCTCAATATTTATTATATATATTTGTAGTCCTTTGAAATTGTACCATTATTAATAGACTAAGCATTATAGTAATTTCTATATGCTTTCCAATATATTTTTGCCTTAATATATGTTGACCACCATTTTTTCTTCCTAATTCTAGGAGGAAATTAAAATCAAGGTTAAATGAATTGTAATTTAGGTTAAACTTACACAACTACACAACTCTTTTATGAAATTATTTTGCCACATTTATCCCACCTAAATTAAAAGTGTTGCAAATATCAGGACATTAATCAGATTGGATTGTGGAATCTATACTTAAGTATCATGATGTAATAAACATTGCTTTGAAATGTTCTTTAACAATAGAATTATATAAGGTAAATGATAACACTGAGAAATAGTTTTTTATTTACCAGGTAATTTATCAAAGATTGTACACACAGCATCAATATATAAGAGAAATGATTGTCAGCAACTGTATGAGCAATTTTCTCTTTG
Source organism: Homo sapiens (assembly GCF_000001405.40). Taxonomy (NCBI): domain Eukaryota; kingdom Metazoa; phylum Chordata; class Mammalia; order Primates; family Hominidae; genus Homo; species Homo sapiens. Next base: position 19,501,245 of record NC_000002.12, read on the forward strand.
CCACACAAGTGTTATTTTTATCATCTATTATATATGATGATAATAAGGCTGATCATTAATGATTGCAGAATGTTAAAGAAATTATTGCAATACCTTTGAAATCAGGTCTTGCTATCTGACCTTGAACTCCTGGGCTCAAGCAAGCCTCCGACCTCAGCCTCCTAAGTAGCTGAGATTACAGGCATGCACCAGTGTGCCTGGCTTCTTTTTAATAGCTTTCTGTTATTGATTCTAGTTTAAATCCCTTCTGCAGAAAAAAGTACTTTACGTAATTATATACTTCAGATGTGTCCCCGCCAAAATCTCATATTGAAATGTAATTCCCAGTATTGAAGGTGGGGCTTGGTGGAAGGTGATTGTATTATGGGGGTGCATTTGTCATGAATGGTTTAGCACCATCCTCTTGTGCTGTCCTTGAGACAGTGAGTGAGTTCTTATTAGATCTGGCCCTTTATAAGTGTGTAGCACCTTCCCCTTTGCACTTGCTCCTGCGCCCACCATGTGAGACACCTGCTTCATCTTCTGCCATGATTGTAAGCTTCCCAAGGCCTCCCCAGAAGCAGATGCCAGCATTATGCTTCCTTTACAGCCTGCAGAGCCATGAGCCAATTAAACCTCTTTTCTTTATAAATTACCCAATCTCAAGTATTTCTTCACAGCAATGCAAGAATGGCCTAATACATATAATTTCAGTTCTTTAAAATTTGTTGAGCTTTGTTTGATGGCCCAGAAGATAGTGCTTCTTAATGAATGTTCCATGTGTACTTGAAAAGAATATGTATTCTATTACTGATGGGTGAAGTGTTCTATACATGTCAATTTGCTGAAGTTGGTTGATAGTGCAGTTCATGTCTCCTATATTCTTACAATTTTTTGTGTATTTGTTCTATCAATTCCCGTGTGAGAAGTATTGAAATTTCCATCTATAATTGTGGACTTCTTGCTTCAGTCCTGTAGGTGTTTGCTATTAAGTGCATACACATTATAAAGTGTTTGGATCTTTGGTTTATTGCATTTCATCAATTTTGGAAAAGGCTTGCCCATGATCTCTTCAAATATTTTTTTCTGCTCTCCGGTTTTTTCTCTATCTGGGACTCCAGCTACACATATGTTAGACTTTTGATGTTGCCCCACAATTCTTACCTCTCAGATGCTTTGTCCTCTCTACCACCACCTGTTTTTTTCTCTTGTGTTTAAGCTTAGATAACTTCTATTGTTCTAACTTCTAATTCACTCATTCTTCTTCAGCTGTGACCAACCTGCTTATCGTATCTTTTATGTATGTAGTTTTTATCTCGTTACTGAAATTCTAACTCTATTCTTGCATGTTGTCTACCTTCTCCAGTGGTTAATATCATTAATAAATATCAATCATAAGTATTTTTAAAGGTCAGTGTTCCAGCATCTATATCATCTCTACTGATTTGTCTCTTCACAATGGGTTAGTTTTTAGGGGTTTTATAATTTTTGTAATCAAAAGCCAAACATTATGCTTAGAACAATACTGACTGAGTTTTAAAATATTTGAACACAGAAATGGATGTAGTTCTTTTTCTATCAGGCATTATGGGGAGTTGATTTAATCTAAGTGATCTGGATTTGGGTTTTTTATTACTATAGTTACCTTTGGTGCACTTTGAATAATTCAGTTCACCTTGTTACCCAGTGACCTCTATTGTGGATTCAAGAAAATTATTTTTGTTGTTTTTTACTATTTAGTTTTTCTTATTGGTAGGATAGGAACAGAGTTTTCTTGTGACTTTCTATATCCTAAGCAGAACTGGAATCCTATTCTATTCTATATTATTCTATTCCCTTCTATTTATTCTGCACCATCAAAAAACAAAACACAATAAACAAAACATTGCAGGTAGTGACCACTACATTTAAAATTCATAATCTACTAATTAGTCTTTGCCTGCTGAAAGCCATTAAAGTGGATATAAAGGATTGTTGGAGCCAAGAAATCAAAATTTCCCTCCAGGCCAAACAGTTATTTTAAAACGTTTTCTTTGTATAATTTACTTCTGTATCAGAAACTCTTCTTGTAGTTCTGGGAAAAAAGTGGCCATGAAATTATATAAAATGAATTAAATATATAAGAAAACAGATTTTTAGCTTGATGAAAATAAAAATTTTATGAAGTGCAATCTGTTAGGGCTACTTTACCATCAAATTTTTTTTTGAAACCAGATAACTTTAGCTCTTTTGAAAAATCGGATTCCAATATCAAAGGACAAAATTTACTGCAAATGAGGGCTACACACACAAGTTCCAAAAGTGAATATTTCCTGAAAGCTTCTATTTTGATTGGAATGACACTCAGTGGTGATTGCTTTATGCAACAGTCTCTATTTTGCAATCAAGTCTTATAAAACGAGATTTTCTGCTAAAGACTGAACAAGGTAAGTGGAAGCATAAAGCTGAACCGAAAGTCTGGACACAAGGCAAAGAGTTAGGGTGAGATCTAGAGAGTTGAAAATTATCTGCATATGTGGCCAATTTGTGTCACTGACTTTCCGGAAAATGGCTCTGTAGAGAGACAGGGCTAGAACATATAACAAGTTTAAAAGAAAAAGCCCAAGCTACTCTGTTTGGGTACAGAATTGAAACTAACAATGAAACCAGAGAAAAATGGAAAGATAATACTAGAACTGTATTAGTCCATTCTCACACTGCTATAAAGAAATACTTGAGACTGCGTAACTTATAAAGAAAAGAGGTTTGATTGGTTCAGCATTCTGCAGGCTGTACAGGAAGCATAGTGGCTTCTGCTCAGCTTCTGGGGAGGCCTCAGGAAACTTTCAGTCATGGTGGAAGGCGAAAGGGAAGCAGGCACGTCTTACATGGCCAGAGCAGGAGGAAAAGAGAGGGTGGGAGGTGCCACACACTTTTAAACAGCCAGATCTAGTAAGAACTCTATCACAAGAACAGCACCAAAAGGATGGAAAGGATGGTGCTAAATCATTCATGAAGGATCCACCCTCATGATCTAATCACCTTCTACCAGATCCCATCTCCAACATTGGAGATTACAATTGAACATGAGATGTGGGTGGGGACACAGATCCAATCCAAAAAAAAAAAAAAAAAGAAAAAAGAGGGGGAAAGAAAATATATGAGATCCAAGCAAAAGGTCCAAATAAACAAGTGTTTATAATCAGAGTTCTTGTAAAGCACTCTGATAATTTCATACATTACTATAGCCTTATATTTTAAACATTATCTGGCTCTACTGAAGTCACAGCCCACGGAGTGGGACTGACAAATATACCAGCTATCGGGGTTATGTAAACAACCTTCAGTGCACTCTGTAGCCTAATTTACTGTCATAAACATTGTGGGAAGCAGAAATCTCTATGGCAGCTTGGTGTGGATATTCTCACTGTCAGCAGGGAAAATTCATTGCCTTCTCACAATGCTGAGACTCCAACAGCATTTACCAAGACAGATGACTTGGTGACAGACACACAGGCCGAAAGTTAATATTTAGCTCAGTGAGATGAAACATGAGAACATCAGAATTGTGCCCCTGGGCCAGTCCCTTGATTCTGCAGTCCAACTGACTGTCTCTGATGATGACCCCAAGAGTGAGTCCTGGAGGGCCAGCATGTCACATTCAGTATCAGCCTCAGAGGTCAGGGAAAGGTTCGATCACTCTGGCTTCCCTTAATAATCCATGCTATACCTATCATCTCCGAATGGATTGTAAGCACTTTGCAATCTACTTGTATTTTAGCCAGTACCACCTTTGAGGCTAAATGAGTTCCAGAAGTGTATTTACCTCCCTCTGCTGAAATAATACACACCTTACATTTATTCTAAACTTGCCATTCTTGAATATTCAATATTTGCATTTGTTAAACAAGCCTCAACTTATCCTCTCCATTCAATCATGACTTGGTAAACTTTGATTCTGTCCAAACACAGTCTTATCTTTCTCAATGAAAGGTCTTTTGTTTGGGACTGTATTTATATAGCTATCTCTTCTCCCACAACTTCCTCAATCTGTTAAATTGTCTTTCTGGATTAAAAAAAAAACAACACAGATCTTGATGATATAAGGTACCGTGCTCTCGGCCACAGCTCTCTTACCCTTTTTTATTTCTCTCTAGAATTGAAATTGAGTAACGTTTAACAGAAGGTGTCTGATTACAACAATGCCCTGGCTGTGAAGAGAACAAATTCAGAACTTTCTCCTAAGGAGAGAAGGAGCAAACTGTTACTCTCTTGTCAAATCCAGTTTTCTTTTAATCTCTGATAATGTTTCACATTGAACCAATGCCTTTAATATGACTTAGTGCTTTAGGAAAATAGTATCACCTCAGGATATTTAGGTAACTAAACCAGCAGATCCAATAAGTGTTATCTTTCAGAGTCAGCCTTCTGAAGGAGGCTAGATGCACATGTGAATGACTTTGCCATAGCACAGAATGCGTCTGGATCATACTTCTGGAAATTCCTCTGGAACCACTGTGTAAATGAAGCTATCAGGAAATCTCATTGCTTTGTAATCATGCTTTACTTTTGACTAAAAAGTAAAAACACCGAGAGTTCAGAGTTCATTTTTCAGACTTGTTTCCAAATGAATTGACCTTTTGTAAAAATCCATGTTCAAAGTAAGTCACCATTGAGGGTTAGCCTTTCTTTCCAACCTTACCATAACCATCTCTATCAGCAACTATTCCTGGAAACCTACAGGAAGTAGGCTCTGTGCTGCAAAGAGATAGAGCAATCCATTAAATATGGTTCCTACTCTTAAAGAGATTACAGCCCAGGTGGAAGCAAAACACAGGTGTAATATGAAAAGCACTAGATGAAGTATAAGGTATGTGAGGCTTGAGAGGAGTCTGAGCTGAAACAGCCTTAGGAGAAGTCCTAATGAGGAATGGGACTTGTGCTCAGCACAAACGGACTGGGAAAGCTGAACGTGTATGGATATCCTTCACAGGCTGACTAATCACACAAAGTGCAATGACTAGTTTGACTAAAAGTAATGAGAGTGGGACATGAACTCCACTACTGACTTAAACCTTGCTTTAAACAAGTTATTTAACCTCTTGAGTTCTCTAATTTCTTATGGTACCTGCACTACTCGTTCAAAATGGCAGACTGAACACATGCGTTGACTTCCTTCCTTCCCCCAACCCACCTAAATGACAAAAAGCAGCGGCATGCAGTTATTTGACACCCAGATGCATCATCTTTTAATACTCCCTTTTTATGACAAAATTGCTTTCAGTACTAATCGTTATTTCATTAATTTGTTTCACAGTTTGAAACAAAGGTTTACTTTGTATACAAAAATTTTCATTTAAAAATACTTAGTGAAATAAATCATGTATGAACTAAAATTAGTACTTACCACAAAAATATTACAGCTATTTGGTCTGTTGATCATTGTTTTCAATTTAAACACAAATAAAACTCAAAATTATCAGATAAAATGAGATAATGGAAGTAATTCAAGTTCTGTTTCTTCTTTATCATCACTGCACTGTCATTGTTCATTTCAAATCTACTCTTTTCAACGCAAGCATAGGTAGCACCATAGGGATTGGAGATACAAATGCTTCCGAAAGTGAGCTTGAATGCTTCCAAATCTTTAAGAACTTACTCTTGAGACAAACATAGGTAGCTGAATCCCTTTGTGTTGAAGTCAATTATGTAACTGGAAGATTTCCAAGTTAGCCTCTCTGTAGAATCCAATGTTTGTTACAGAACAAGCAGTAAAAATTACGCTTATTTGTGTTGGGGTCAACCGTGTAACTGGGAAATTTCCAAATTAGCTTCACTGTAGAATTCAGTGTTGTTAAAGAATAAGCAGGCAGTAAAAACTGTGGTTTTTTTCTGATACACATATATATTATTAAAACTCTACAGTAACCAAAGCAATTATTTAGAACTTAGATCAAAGAAAGTGGGTTTTTTGGTCGGGGGATTGGAGGAGGCCAGTTATCACTGACCTTGGTGATTATAAAAACCAGACTTCCTTTCAGTTGGTTTTATTATTGTGTTTAAATTCTCTACCAGCAATACATCTCCTGTTGCTTGCACCCAGAGCTTTCCAGCTGCCCCATCTTTAGTATGCTATCACAGTAAAGTGCACAAGGATATAAAGCCATAAAAAAGCACCAAGAATGGGAGTTACAGCCATTTAGAAAATCTTGAACAACAGGCTTATACTGCCTACTAACACTGGATGCAGGAGGAGGCTCCAGCTCAGGAGGAAGACCACCACATAAGTTTTTCCCGTATAATATTTTGGAATAAGCAATGTAGAGAGCATGGGAGAAGGGGCAGAAATTGAGATGATGAGTAAAGAGCCACCTGTGGAATTCTGCTGGGTCAGGAGATAATCCCTTCTCCACTCTCTCTGCCCCGTGCCACAGCAGTGTCTTCCCCCATGAAGGCCTGGGAGATGCTCCCAAAGGAATTAAGCAACCTGCTTGGGAATAATTTGCACCTACATGAAAGTTGGTCCCTCAAAGCTGGCTCTCTTCGTTGTGGCCCAGCAAAGGGAGAGACAGGGCAGCTTGACTGAGGTGAAGCCTGGCAGTCAGCACACCCCGAATTCAAACTGCTGTCTCCCTGTGGAGGGGCACCTGAAGCAACAGAGGAAACCACGTCATCTGCCTTTACTAATCAACAGTCTTTCGTGCTTAAATATGAATTACAATCAAGGCTCCTGGAAAACTTGCAGAGAGCCAGCTGTTCAGAGAAGAAGGAATAGGATGGAAGAAAGAACTGAGAAGCAAACATTGGGTACCCTAGAAAAGAGAAACAAACATCAAGAGAATTCTAATTAATAGCGTCCAAGAGCTGTAAGAAGAGTGGGCATCCAGAAAACAAGAACAGGTGACTAAAAAAATACATAGTAAAAGAAAAGGAAAGAGTTCATAGAAATAAAAACATTATTTAATAGAAGGGCCACAAGAAGTTCAGGAAAGCTTTCAGAATATAAAAAAAAGAGAGAGAAAATAAAATGTAAGGGATAATTATACATTTAACATGTACATGTTTTATTTTTCTCAAAATATCCGATATTACATCAAATAATTAATAGCATTAATATTCATGAATGACAGATTAGAATCTAAGAAGTAAAGTATTACAGTCTGATTCTCCAGATGTCTATACCTTATCACAGAATCAGAGAACATCAGTGGTTAAAAAAAAAGGTGGAAATCATCTCAGTAGTTTTCAAAGAGTATTCCACTAAGACCTAAGATTTGGTAAAATTTTATCAGCAGGTTTTAAGGGAAGCTGAGCAGACAAAGCCCCACACCCTTGTGTATAATTTAACCAGGTGATTTCTGTTTCGTGTTTTTGTACTGGGGTTCTATGTACAACCTCACTTATAAAGGAGTTATTTACTAGAGAACTAGGCTGCGCATGCAGAGCTAATATGAATGTGGTCTCATTTAGACTATACTTTTAAACTATATGCTCATCATTCATGTAGAAATACTGAAAGCTGCATGAGGGGACAGAAAAATAGGGCTGTTAGAGCCTCAGCCTCCCCTCTATTATGCCAGGCATCTTGGATGGAACCCAAACTTGCCGTTTTACAGAATAAAAACTCTGTGGTAAACCAGCTTCCCCCTCCGTAGAAGAGTTTATCCTCCATCTGTTCTTTCTTAAGCATTCTCCTTGGAAATCTCACCCAATATCCCAAACGGCTTACTCTAAGATCACAGGCAGTACCCTTCCTGAGTGAGGTTCTGATAAATTGTGTTCTCTCCATCTTATTATATTTCCATTGCTGTTTTTACACCTCATTCAGATTGATATCATGAGCAGCTACTTAGTGGCCAGCCCCATGATCTGGCTCAGTGTGTTCAACATAAATGTTTGATAATCACAAATCGGAATCAGATCTCTTGCTTACAATTGTGGAAAAGGAGACCTGGAAGACAAAATGACTTAACCAAAGTTACAGACTTTCCTGTTATATTTGACGTTGCTGTTATGCTTTCTTACAGTTTCACTTGGCTACGTTTTTTCTTCTTAAATGGATGTCAGCTACCTTGGTTAAGGATCGTCAGCTTAGATTCTTTTTCTAACTCTCACAGCATGGTGTTAAGAATAAAACAAGTGACCAATAAGTACTTGTTGATAAATTCTTTTAAAATAGTTTTTAAAAAGAAAATAAGTGTCCACTTTCAAGTAGGAGGCAGTAGAATGTAATAGCTCAACATTTCTGCTGCAATGATTAAGGGAAAAATTGACAAAGATTTAAAGATAATATTTTTAGAGGCATCAGACAACTATAGAAGCAAAAATGGCTAAATTGCCTAAATTTCCAAAGAAGAAAATGTCCTTTTTACAGAAAGTGGGCAAATGCTGGTCATTTTCTACCTTAGCAGCATTTGCCAATCATGGGAGCTAGCCAAGGTAGAGGTACTTTACCAAAGGGGGGAAAAAACCCCTCAGAGTTTTGATAGTCATGCTGACAATGTTGAAGGATTGGAATCCTAGTCAAGCCCCAAACATACAACTGATTTTCCCCATGGGACATCTGCAGAAGTTTGGGAAAGTGCAAATGGCTGGTAACAGAAATTAAAAAGTGATTGCCTCTGTTGGCAAGTTTTAAGGGAGGAGATTGATTGGAAAGGGATATGAGATAACTTTGGATGGTGAAGAATATATTATGTCACTTGTTTTGAGAAGAAGTTGCACAGATGTACCTAATTGCCAAAACTCATCCAACTATCATTTGAGATCTGTGCACTTTATTTATGAAAATTATATCTTCATTAAATATGTAAATATAGTAAGAAGGGGAATACTGGGTCAGCAATTGCAAGATTATCCTCAGAGTTCTGGACAAGGGATAAAGTCTGGGAATATCTGCAGTTCCTTAATTTTTGTCCCATCATACACTCATCACATAGCACTTTGTATTTTAGCTATTTTTTTCTATGGATTAATCCTATTTTCCTATGTGCATTCTTTGAAGCAAAAAAGTCTAATAATTAAAAGTGTTGCTGAGGATGTGAAACAACTGGAACTCTCCTTATTGTTAGTAAGAGTTTAAATTAGTACAATCACTTTGGAGAACACTGCGGTAGTATCTACTAAAACTAAACATATGCGCACCTTATGATCCATAAATTCCATTCCTAGTTATATATGCAAGAGAAATAAACATATATAACCACCAAAAGTCATATAATAGAATGTTCATAGGTGATTTATTTATAATAACCAAAAATATAAAAATAACTAACCACTAACAATAACACAGAAAAATAAGTAGCAATATTTTGTAGCAGATTGTAAAGAAATAACAGCAATATAAAGAACAAGCTACACATTATGACATTAATTAATTTCAGAAATACTAGGTTTAGCAAAAGAAGCAGGATAAAATAGAATAGAGGTATTGATTTGGAAGAGGCACAAGGGAGCCTCCCAGAGGGCTGAAATGTTCTATATCTTGCATATCTTGATCAGTAGTATGTGTACCCCCGACACACACACATATGTATCTCCACCAAATGAATACTTAAGATACGTGAACTACACTGAAAAGTGTAAAAAGAAAAGAAATAGAGGAAAAGATAAAATAATTGTGATAAAAGACAAAATAGTCTTGCATATATAACTGTTGGAGAAACTGGTTATCTCTTGTGAAGAAACTAGAGCTTCTCTCAGGATAATGGATAATAATGGTGATAAGATGTATTCAAAGTCCTAGAGCGTTAGTAGAGTAGTACATAACCAATTATATAGTGAGAAAATATGCCTCTGGTAATAGTCGTATTGCCATAATAAAGAGATTTGTAGGAACGAACCCATACTATGAAAACATAACATTTATATAGCACCAAATTACCTGAAAGTCTATTTGTCTCTCTCCTTGCATATTCACCTCCATTCACTCTTTTGCTGCTTTTTTTAATTTTTAATTTTTTTATTTCAATAGGTTTTTGGGGAACAGGTTGTGTTTGGTTACATGAATAAGTTCTTTAGTGGTGATTTCTGATATTTTGATGCACCCATCACCTGAGTAGTATATACTGTACCCAATGTGTAGTCTTTTATCCCTTGCCACCCCCCCACCCTTTCCCCTAAGTCCCCAAAGTACAATGTATCATTCTTATGCCTTTGTGTCCTCATGGCTTAGCTCCCACATATGCATGAGAACGTACGATGTTTGGTTTCCATTCCTCAGTTACTTCACTTAGAATAACAGTCTCCAGTTCCATCCAGGTTGCTGCAGATTATTTTGTTCTTTTTATGGATGAGTAGTATTCTCATCACATTTTCTTTATCCGCACATTGATTGATGGGACATTTGGGCTGGTTCCATATTTTTGCAATTGCAAATTTTGATGTTGTAAACATGCATGTACAAGTATCTTTTTTGTATAATTACTTCTTTTCCTCTGGGAAAATATCTAGTAGTGGGGTTGCTGGATTAAACGGTAGATCTACTTTTAGTTCTTAAAGAAATTCCACACTGTTTTCCATAGTGATTGTACTAGTTTACTTTCCCATCAACAGTGTAAAAGTGTTCCCTTTTCACCACATCCACACCAACATCTATTATTTTTTTGATTTTTTGATTATGGCCATTCCTGCAGGAGTAAAGTGGTATTGCATTGTGGTTTTGATTTGCATTTCCCTGATCATTAGTGATGCTGAGCATTTTTCCATATGCTTGTTGGCCATTTGTATATCTTCTTCTGAGAATTGCCTATTCATGTCCTTAGCCCACTTTTTTATGGGATTGGTTTTTCCTTGCTGATTTGAGTTATTTGTAGATTCTGGATATTAGTCCCTTGTCAGATGAATAGAATGTGAAGATTTTCTCCCACTCTGTAGGTTGTCTGTTTATTCTATTGATTATTTCTTTTGCTGTGGAGAAGTTTTTTAGTTTAATTAAGTCCCATCTATTTATCTTCGTTTTTGTAACATTTGCTGTTGGGTTCTTGGTCATGAAGTCTTTGCCTAAGCCAATGTCTAGAAAGGCTTTCATGATGTTATTTTCTAGAATCTTTATGACTTCAGGTCTTAGATTTAAGTCTTTGAACCATTTTGAGTTGATTTTTGTATAGGGTGAGAGATGAGGATCCAGTTTCATTCTTCTACATGTGGCTTGCCAATTATCCCAGCAACATTTGTTGAATAGCGTGTCCTGTCCCCATTTTATTTTTTTATTTTGTTCGCTTTGTCAAAGATCAGTTGGCTGTAAGAATTTGACTTTTATTTCTGGGTTTTCTATTCTGTTCCATTGGTCTATATGCCTATTTTTATACTGGTACCATGCTGTTTTTATAACTATGGCCTTATAGTATAGTTTGAAGTCGGGTAATGTGAGGCTCCAGATTTGTTCTTTTTGCTTAGTCTTGCTTTGGCTATGTGAGCTCTTTTTTGGTTCCATAAAAGTTTTAGAATTTTTTTTCTAGCTCTGTGAACAATGATAATGGTATTTTGATGGGAATTGCATCGAATTTATAGATTGCTTTTGGAAGTATGGTCATTTTCACAACAGTGACTCTACCCATCCATGAGCAACGGATGTGTTTCCATTTGTTTGTGTCATCTATGATTTCTTTCAGGAGTGTTTTGTAGTTTTTCTTGTAGAGATCTTTCACCTCCTTGATTATATGTATTCCTAAGTATTTTTTTCCAGCTATGGTAAAAGGGGTTGCATTCTTGATTTCATTCTCAGCTTGCTCACTGTTGGTGTATAGCAGAGCTACTGATTTGTATTAATTTCGTATCCTGAAACTTTGCTGACTTCATTTCCCAGTTCTAGGAGCTTTTTGGATGAGTATTTAGGGTTTTCTATGTATACAGTCATATCATCAACAAACAGCAACAGTTTGATTTCCTCTTTACTGATTTGGATGCCCTTTATTTCTTTCTCTTGTCTGATTGCTCTGGCTAAAACTTCCAGTACTATGTTGGATGGAAGTGGTGAAAGTGGGCATCCTTGTCTTGTTCCAGTTCTCAGTGGGAATGCTTTCAACTTTTCCCCATTTAGTATAATGCTGGCTGTGGGTTTGTCATAGATGGCTTTTATTACCTTAAGGTATGTCTCTTCTATGCTGATTTTGCAAGGGTTTTAATCATAAAGTGATGCTGGATTTTGTCAAATGTTTTTTCTGCATCTATTGAGAAAACTATGTGATTCTTATTTTTAATTCTGTTTATGTGGTATATCACATTTATTGACTTACATATGTTAAACTATCCCTGCATCCCTGGTATGAAACCCACTTGATAATGGTGAATTATCTTTTTGTTATGCTGTTGGATTCAGTTAGCTAGTATTTTGTGGAGGATTTTTGCATCTATGTTCATCAAAGATATTGGTCTGTGGTTTTCTTTTCTTGTTATGTCCTTCTCTCATTTTGGTATTAGGGTGATACTGGCTTCATAGAATGATTGAGGGAGAATTCCCTCTTTCTCTCTTTGAATAGTGTCAATAGCATTGGTACAAATTGTTCTTTGAATGTCTGATAGAATTCAGCTGTGAATCTGTCTAGTCCTGGACTTTTATTCGTTGGCAATTTTTAAATTACTATTTCAATCTCACTATTCGTTATTGGTCTGTCCAGAGATTCTACTTAGTACATCTTCTTGTTTTAATTTAGGAGGGTTGTATATTTCCAGAAATTTATCCATCTCCTCTAGGTTTTTTAGTTTATGTGCATAAAGGTATTCATAGCAGCCTTGAATAATCTTTTGGATTTCTGTGGTATCAGTTGTAATAGCTCTCATTTTGTTTCTATTTGAGCTTATTTGGATCTTCTCTCTTCTTTTCTTGGTTAATCTCACTATTGGTCTATCAATTTTGTTTATCTTTTCAAAGAACCAGCTTTTTGTTTCATTTATCTTTTGTATTTTTTGTTTGTTTGTTTGTTTCCATTTCATTTAGTTCTGCTCTGATCTTTGTTATTTGTTTTCTTCTCCTGGGTTTGGGTTTGGATAGTTCTTGTTTCTTCAGTTCCATGAGGTGTGACCTCAGATTGTCTATTTGTGCTCTTTCAGACTTTTTGATGTAGGCATTTAGTGCTATGAACTTTCCTCTTATCACTGTTTTTTCTGTATCCCAGAGGTTTTGATAGATTGTATCACTATTATTGTTCAGTTCAAAGAATTTTTTAATTTTCGTCTTGATTTCATTGTTGACCCAATGATCATTCAGGAGCAGGTTATTTAATTTCCATGTATTTTCGTGGTTTTGAGGCTTCCTTTTAGAGTTGATTCCCAATTTTATTCCAGTTTTGTCTGAAAGAGTATTTGATATAATTTTGATTTTCCTTTTTTTTTTTTTTTTTTTTCCGAGACAGAGTTTCACTCTTGTTGCTCAGGCTGGAGTGCAACGGTATGATCTCAGCCCCCTGCAACCTCTGCCTCCCTGGTTCAAGTGATTCTCCTGCCTCAGCCTCCCAAGTAGCTGGGATTACAGGCATGTGCCACCATGCCCAGCTAATTTTTGTGTTTTTAGTTGAGATGAGGTTTTGCCATGCTGGCCAGGCTGGTCTTGAACTCCTGACCTCAGGTGACCCAGTCACCTCAGCTTCCCAAAGTGCTGGGATTATAGGCGTGAGCCACTGCACCGGCCATAATTTTGATTTTCTTAAATTTACTGAGACTCATTCTGTGGCCTATCATATGGTCTGTGTTGGAGGACATTCCATGTGCTAATGAATAGAATGTATATTCTTCAGTTGTTTGGTAGAATGTTCTGTAAATATCTGTTAAGTCCATTTGTTGTAGGGTATAGTTTAAGTCCATTTTTTTTTTTGCTGACTTTCTGTCTTGATGACCTGTTTAGTGCTGTCAGTGGAGTATTGAAGTCCCCCACTATTATTGTGTTGCCATCTATCTCATTTTTTTTAGGTCTAGTAGTAATTGTTTTATAAATTTGGGAGCTTCAGTGTTAGGTGCATATATATATAATTATAATATTTTCCTGTTTGACTAGTTCTTTTATTATTGCATAGTGTCCCCCTTTGTCTTTTTTAACTGCTGTTGCTTTAAAGTTTGTTTTATCTGGTATAAGAATAGCTACAACTCACTTTTCATGTTCATTTGCATAGAATAGCTTTTTCCACCCCTTTACCTTAAGTGAATGTTAGTCCTTATATTTTAGGTGAGTCTCCTGAAGACAACAGAAACTTGGCTGGTGAATTTTTATCCATTCTGCCATTCTGTATCTTTTAAGTGGAGCATTTAGGCCATTTACATTCAATATTAGCATTGAAATGTGAAGTACTATTCTATCCATCATGCTATTTGTGGCCTGAATACATTTTTTTTCATTGTGTTATTTTCATATAGATCCTGTGAGATTTATGCTTTAAGGATGTTCTATTTTGATGTATTTCAAGGATTTATTTCAAGATTTGGAGCTCCTTTTAGCAGTTCTTACAGTACTGGCTTGGTAGTGGTGAATTCTCTCAGAATTTTTTTGTCTGAAAAAGACTGTATCTTTCCTTCATTTATGAAGCTTAGTTTCACTGGATACAAAGTTCTTGGCTGATAATTATTTTATTTAAGGAGGCTAAAAATAGGTACCTAATCACTTCTAGCTTGTAGGGTTTCTGCTGAGAAATCTGCTGTTAATCTGACAGCAGATTTCCTTTATAGATTACCTGATGCTTTTGCCTCATAGTTCTTAAGACTCTTTCCTTTGTCTTGACTTTAAGTAACTTGATGACTATGTGCCTAGGTGATGATCTTTTTGTGATAAGTTTCCCAGGTGTTCTTTGAGCTTCTTGTATTTGGATGTCTAGATCTCTAGCAAAGCCAGGAAGTTTTCCTCAATTATTCCCTCAAATATGTTTTCTAAACTTAGATTTCTCTTCTTCCTCAGGGATACCAATTATTCTTAGGTTTGGACGTTTAACATAATTCCAGACTTCTTGAAGGCTTTGTTCATTTTTTTTTTCATGCTTTTTTCATTGTCTTTGACAGATTGGGTTAATTCAAAAGCCTTGTCTTCAAGCTCTGAAGTTCTTTCTTCCACTAGTTCAATTCTATCACTGATACTTTCCAGTGCATTTTGCATTTCTCTAAGTGTATCCTTGATTTCCAGAAGTTGTGATTGTTTTTTATTTATGCTATCTATTTCACTGAAGTCTGCAGTGGTGATCCAGTTTCTTCAAAGGGTCTGTGGATTCTCTTGGCTTTCCTGGTATGTTCCTGTGGTAGTTCTTGGAGCAAAAGTTCACAGTGTGAGTCTTCACATACTTCTCTGTCCATGCGAGCAGGAGCTGCAAGCTAGTTCTGCCTCATATATGCCATCTTAATCCTCCATTCACTTTTTAACCCATTTTGAGCTGATGTTTTCTCAGTCACTACAGTGGCATTGGTTACGCTGAGTAATTAATAACCTCATCAATTACCTCTGAGTTTTCATTCCTGTATTTTTTAATGGATTTTGCTGAGTGCCTACTATGTATTAAGTACCATAGGAGGTGTTCGGGATAAGATAAATAGGTCCTGGTTGTCACAGAATGTATACACTGAAGGCATATGACACACTGGTGAGAGCAAGTTCCAGCAGCCAGGATGGCTAGGTTTGAATCCCACTCTTCACCTTACTTGTTATGTGACCTTGTGAAAACTGCATGATTTTTTTTTCCCTTAATTTCTTCTGCTTAGAAATGGAGATAACAATACTATTGTTAGTTGTCTGTTGTTGGCTTTGCGCCATTACCACCAGGCCCTTTTAAGGCTGAGAACTGACTTCCCAGAACCCCCTTCTCTGGATAGTTCCATACTAGAATTTCCCATTACAAGAAACTCATGTGAATTTAGAAGACAGAAGGAAATCAAAGGCCTGTTCTCAGAAGTTCATGGCAGTCAGACACAACAGGATTCCAGATCTCTCTACAAGCTCTCACTTTGTGATTAAGACTTTTCCCTGATATGCCCACGATCAGTGGATTTCTCCCTGCTCTCCACTGCTTCTGCCACTGCCTCCAAATCTTCACTTCTCCAGATCCTCCCACATAAAACTCCTATATTAATTCCATTTTCCCATAGTAGCTTCATTTTCCTGAAAGAACCCAGATGGATACAGGTACCTACATGATAGTATCACTGAGATGATTGAGTTAATACATGAAATAGCACTTAACACAGCGTTTGGCACAAGGCAAGGACTGTCTTATTCCTATTATGATACGTGATATCAAGGAAATAAAATATAAAGCAATAGGGTGATGAAGACAGAGTAGTGGAGGGATAGAGTGGTCAGGGAAGATTACTCTGAGCATATGATATTTGAATAGAGTCATGAAAAATAAGAATGGAAAAGCCATGCTAACATTTGGGGAAAGGAAAGAGCAAGCAAAGAGGTTGCTGCATCTTAGGAAGAGAACAAAGGACAATGGAGACTAAAGAAGGAAGTGTCATGAGATGGGTTAGAGAGAGATCATCTCATGGATGACAGATTTGGGAGGTTCTTGTAGGTCATGATAGAATATAGATTTTTTTCCCTGCTTATAAGGGGAGGTGATTAAAAGTTTATAAGCAGATAAGTGGCATGATATAATTTGTTTTAACTAGGGTCTTCTGGTTGTAATTTAAGATTAGAATAGAAGCAAGAGAACAGTTAAGTGGCTGTCACAGTAGAGAGTTGGTGGTTTGGGCTCGGAAGATGAAGATGGCAATGGAGAACCACAGAGACACAAGTTTCAGGGAAGTTGTTAGCAGGGTAGGCTGACGGTTGGATATGCGGAGTAGCAGAAAGCCTTTCCTCCACGTTCGTCAAGAGTTTAACTCCCTAGATCTCCAGGACATTGCCTTCTCCTAGTTTTCCTTCTGTTTTCCAGATTTCTTCTTCCCTTGCTCTCATTCTTCTATTATTCCCTAAATACGTTCCTTTGCCCCTTCTTTCCCCTACCCATTCCTTTGTACTCTCCACAGTGCTTCGTTCTTTTTTCCCTTCCTTTTTATCTTTACACCGGGTGCTTGGAATAGGGAAAACACTTCTTTCCCTGCCGCAATTCACAGACTTCTATCCCTATCTCAGACCACTCTCCTGATAACTAGATTCAATTACCAATTAGACATCGCTGTTTGGTCCCACAAGTGCTTCAGATTCAACATATGCTAAACTGAACTAGGTCTTCTCCTAAACCTTCTCCTGTGTTCCCTCTGTTGTTTAACAACACTACTAAGCATCCAATCATCCAAGCCAGAAAACTGGGGGCCATCCTAAAATTTTTTTCTCACCTCTCAATATCTAATCAGTCACAAAGTCCAATCAACATTATCTCCTCAATACTTCCCACATCTTTCCCCAGCATCCATCTTCATTGTTACTTCCTTAATTACAGGCATCCTCTTCCTTTTAAATATCCCAACTGATTTCTCTCTTTCAGTTTTATTTCTTCAAATGTGGCCTCTACCCTGCCTCTTGAGTGGTCTATGTATTACTCCATTCTTACTTTTCCTCTTCTTGAAACTTCCATTTGTTCCATTGCCTCTGGGATAAAACACAAGTTGCTCACATGGAGTACCAGACAGTCTGTGATCTCTACCTGGCTTGTAGCATTCACCTCATCTCCCATGACAGCTACACTGAATTATTTAAGTTCTCCAAATTTTTCTTATTGTTCTATGCCAGCTCAAGCCTTTCCTCCACTAAGAAGTCTTCTCTCATTCTCACAGTTATGTCAGTCTTCTTCATTTCAAAACTTTACTGTGTACATTTCTGTTACATACTACTAGTTTTATACTGTACAATAGCTAATTGTTTGATTATTGCCATCATTCACTTTTATTCCCGTTTCACAGCTCCTATTCTGCCTGTATTCCCTGTATACACAACCATTCTAATGTGTTTGTATGTGCTTTGACAAAATGTGATTCTTCTGTTTTATGTTTATTTTTAATTTATGTAAATGGTATTGTGTTACATTTCACTGTTTCCTTTTAAAATTAATCATATGTCTTTCAATGCATCCATGTTGCTATGTGGCAGCTAGCACATTGCTCCTAAGAGGTTACTCATAATATTACAAGGTGAACACACCCACCATATTTTATCTACATATTCTTCAAGCTATGCACAACCAGAACGCCTTCTGCTCCCAGCCACCAAAACTAAGGCAGCAATGAACATACTTGTCAATGTCTCTCTTTTGTAAATTGATGCAATTTGGTCTACTAAGAGAACATATACACGAGAAAGCTGATTAAAAAGTCTCATTTTTCAAATCAAATCCGCCATCTTTTTCTTCATGCTAATTAATAAATTGTATGCTTGATGTATCCATCTTTTTTTTAGGTTAGCGTGTTAAGTCTCTGAAGCTGATTAACGGCTTAACTCAAGTTTTCGCACCTGCAGACCAGTGACCCCCCACCGCCGCCCCCCCGCAAGGCATCTGTTTGACGTCTCTTTAATTTTATTAGTGGCTTATGGACAAAATCACTTGACTTAACCTTTTTCAAGTGTAAGTTATTTGGATTCACAAGAGCATTTTTCTCCCTGTTATAAATCAATGAACCCAGTTAAGATTAACTGCCTACATGTGAGCTTCAAAAGATCTTCTATGGCCAGGCAAAGTTGAAAGAAACACATAATTCCATAACATGCTAAACACAAGTTGATCAAAGTTTTTGGAGCTGGTTACTTAATGCTGTACTTCCTCATTCTCAAACAATCTGATTTCAAGTAGTTTGTGTCTAAAACATATATTACTAGACTGCAAACATTCATCCTTTGGAAGAAAAATCATTTCTGTATCTTAACTGGTCAAAATCTATGTTTCAACAGACCTAAACTAAACTCTGGGCTAAACATTCCTGAACCTAATTTGTGAAATTCCATAATGTTTGGAGATTAAAGCAAAAAGAAATGAAAATAAAAGAAACATAGCTAATGATTCATTTTAAACATGAAAACTTCCTATATAGAATAATCATGGAATCCTGGAAGCAAAAGGAATCATAGGCCTTAGATATTAAACAGTGTGTTGGGGGAGGGGCATTGTTCAAGTCCTTGGAATTCTGAGGAAATGTCATGGGTGGGGGCAGTCATTGCAGGGGATGGGGGAGTTGAGGAGACCAATAAGGTAGGGTACAACCAAACAGTCTTCCTTTTACACATACATATTTTAAATTTTATGCTTTCATGTAAGAGATCATTTGAAAAAATTACACTACTTGAAAATAAATTGAAAGTCTCTGACCTAGTCCAGTATTTCACACAAATCAGTATCTTCTATGACAATCTTGACAGGCAGTAATCCAATATCTGTTTGCACACTGCTGTCATTGTGAGTTCACTGTCCTGAAGCAGCTCATTTCCATATCAGATGTCTCAAGTTCTTGGGATGCTTATTTCTTCTAGAGTGCCATATTTAACCCCCTGTAACTTCTATGGCCTACTTATCTTCTCTGAAATAATACAGACTTTCTATCTGTTACCTCCCTCCCTTATGTGTTCTTTCACAAATGGATAAACTGTGAATGCTGTTTTGTGTAGGCTAACCAATCTCAGTTCCTCAAATATATACCTTTTGAATTGGAAGAATCAATATCATTAAAATGACCATACCACCCAAAACAATGTATAGATTCAATGCTACTCTTATCAAATTACCAATGTCATTCTTCATAGAATTAGAAAAAATTAGTCTAAAATTCATACGGAGCATAAAAAGAACCCTAACAGCCAAAGCAATCTTAAGCAAAAAGACCAAAGCTGGAGGCATCACACCACCTGACTTCAAACTATAATAACCAACACAGCATGGTACTGGCACAAAAGCAGAGACATAGACCAACGGATCAGAATAGAAAACTCAAAAGTAAAGCAGCACACTCACAGCCATCTGATCTTCGACAAAGCCCACAAAAACAAGCAATGGGGAAATGACTCCCTAGTCAATAAATGGTCCTGGTGTAACTGGCTAGCCATTTGCAAAAGAATGAAGCTGGACCTTTACCTTTCACCATATAAAAAAATAATTCTAAAGGTTTAAATGTAAGACCTCAAACTATAAAAATCCTAGAAGAAAACCTAGGAAATACCCTTCTCAACATCAGCCTTGGCAACGGATTTTGGCTAAGTCTCCAAAAGCAATTGCAACAAAATCAAAAATCGATGTGGGACTTACTTGAACTAAAGAGCTTCTGCACAGCAAAATAAACTATCAATAGAGTAAACATACAACATAAAGAATGAGAGAAAATATTCACAAGCTATGCATCCAACAAAGGTCCAATATCCAGGATCTATAAGGAACTTAAATCAACAAGAAAAAGACAAATAACCCCATTAAAAAATGGACAAAGGACATGAACAGTTTTCAAAATGAGACATATAAGTGGCCAGCAAATACATCAAAAAATGATCATTACTACTAATCATTAGAGAAATGCAAATCAAAACCACAATGAGATATCATCTCACACCAGTCAGTATGGCTATTGTTTTTGTTTTATTTATTTTTTTTTCAGTAGCAGAATTGCTATTATTGAAGTCAGAAAACAACAGATGCTGGCAAGGCTGTGGAGAAAAGGGAATGCTTATACCCCACAGGTGGGAATGTAAATTAGTTCAGCCACTATGGAAAGCAGTTTGGAGATTTCTCAAAGAACTTAAAACAGAGCTACCATTAGACCCAGTAGTTCCGTTACTGTGTGTATACCCAAAGGAAAATAGATTATTATACCAAAAAGACACATGCAGTTATGTGTTCATCACCACACTATTCACCATAGGAAAGACATGGAATCAACCTAGATGCCCATCAGTAATGGATTGGATAAAGAAAATGTGGTACATACACACCGTAGAATACTACATAGCCATAAAAAATAATGAAATCACATCATCTGCAGTGACATGGATGCAGCTGGAGGCCATTATTCTAAGCAAATTAATACAGGAACAGAAAACCAAATACCGTATGTTCTCCTTTATAAGTGGGAGCTAAATATTGAGATGCATGGACATAAAGATGGAAACAATAAACACTGAAGACCATTATACCAGAGTGGGGAGAGAAGGAGGCATTTGTGGGTTGAAAAATCTACCTATTGGGTACTACGTTCACTACCTGAGTGAAATATACCCATGTAATATGCTTGCACATGAACCTCCTGTATCCAACATGAAAGTTGAATTAAAAAAAACAAAAGTAAAAATGAAAAGCATATAACTTTTAAATGACCAGTGGAATGTTTTATTCTCTTCAGGTTAGTTGCATCCTTATCATCTTTGTCATGACATCACCTTAGAGTCAGTCACTTTCTTCCTGTCTTCTTCCTGTCTTCTCTACTACACAAATGTGCATCTCGAGGGCATGGACCACGTCTTTCCTTCTCATCTTGGTATCCCCAGGGTATGAGCCCAGCAGATACTAGGCACTCACCCTATCTTGGTTGGTAACCAAATTCAAAGTAAAATATATTTTTTTCCAATCTAGAACTGCAAGATGAGAGACAGTAAAAGCAGACCCTAGAATCATAGCAGAGGATAAGCTAATTACCAGCCACAAACAGAAACCCTCACCTTTCCAAAGTCCACATTCTGGCCACTGCAAAACTACCTTTTCTCTGAGACATTTAGAGAAGTCAGGAAGGCTGCCTGAGGACTATGATGAGAAAAGCGTTTTTAAAATGTGTTCCCCATCAACACAAACCAAATCAAGGAAGCAAAAGTCAATGAAAATCCAGCCATACAATTCTATTGAAAGATCCAGACCCCTGATAGTGCCCTCTCAAAGGACCAGAATGTTTGGGCACCTGTGGGGATGGAGTGCCAGAACCACGTTGTGTTGTAACCAATAGGCTCATTCTGGGAATCAGAATCATATGCCAAGGCAGGTGGGAAAATAAAGAGTAGGTGTTCAACTCCTAGTAAACCTTGCTGGAAAAAGAAAAAGTACAGCTATCCAGTTGTTTGTGGGTGGTGAAACTATGAGGAAATGTGAAACAAGATCAGACTGTTTTTAAAGTCCCAAGCAGTAGGGAACCTTGAAGGAAGAAGGTGTGAGCTTTGTAAAAAGTCAAAGGTAAAGGAAACAAGTTATACCCCAGGAAAAGCTACTCTACTTTCTCCATTTTGAAAATCTTCGCAGACAGGAGTGTTAGAAAATGAAATCAAAACTCAGTCTAGGGTGACTTTTCAATTCTAGATCTATAGGACAGACTTTACCTATATACACACATAAAGACACACCCACAAACACACACACACATGCATATACACACACACACTCACATACACACACACACTCCTGTGTAATTTGGCAAGAAACCTGACAAGACTGAGTGAAAAACATTCTCGGGGTCCTGAGAAGGCAGCTATCAAGGTGTTGCTGGGAACCCATAGCTTGGTAGTTAAGGCAGAGAAAGACCATCAGCAGGAATATCCCCCTTCCCTTCATTCAATTTCATTCATGTCCATGGCTTCAGTTACCAGTTGTGTAGCAATGACTATCAACTCCACATGTGCAGCCCTGACCTTTCCTCTGAGCGTTTGTCCCATTTATCCAACTGCCCATTCTGTGTCTCCACATAGATGCTACAAAGGCACCGCTGTATCAACATGTGCAAGAGGAACTGGTGATTTTTCTTTACCTGTTTCTCTTCCAGAATTCCTTATCTGAGTAAATGGCACCCTCACCTATTCAACTGTGCAAGCCAAAATCTAGGAGTCATTGTTGATGCAGCCCACAATTACATAAATATCTAATCTGGTGACAAGGTTTGTCAGTCCTTACCAACTTCTCCATCTGTCCACTTGTCTTCATTGTCTGCCATGCCTTAGTCTTAGCTACAATCTTGGCCTCTTTTGACTATAGCACTAGCCTCCTAACAGGTGTCGCACATTCACTCTTACCCCTCCAAACTATGCTTCATAGCAAGCTTTCAAATCCTTTCTGTTTTCCCATTGTTCTTGAGCTAAAGACCAGAATTCTTATTCAAGCCACAAAGCCTTTAATGGTTCAGACCCTGCCTACCTTTCCAGCCTCAGCAGGATCACCTTACCTCTTACTCTAATGTCATGCCTCACAAGTTCTTTCAGTTCTTCAGGGCACTTGCTTTCTCCTGCAACAGCCTTTGCTTGAGTAATTGCTTCTGCTTGGAGTTCTCTTCTGAGCTGACGCATCCGAACTCTTCCAATCTCACCTCAAACATCACTTTCTCAGGCAGCCTTCCTGGCACTCAGGTGGGTTGGGTCCCTCCTTTTAATACCCTCATAGCACTTTATACTTTTCCCTTTATATTTATCACAGTGATGGTTTTATATTTGAATATGTATCCTTTTGATTCAAGCTTCTCTCCCCTCCTAGACTATAAGGTCCATGGGCACAGGATCCATTGCTTCTTTTGTCACCCTGTGTGCCCAGGACCCTGACATTGCCCAATCCACAAGCATTCAACCAACTTTTTGTATTGTGTGAATGAATGAAAGAATGAATGAAAACTGACATCCAAAGGCTAAATGCATGAGAAAACCAGTGGGCAGCTATCTACTCATTCATTCATTCATTCATGTAGCATCCAGTGTTTGAACACTGAGCACTGACTGACTACTTGGTTATTTGTAGACCGAAACTCCTCCTGCTGGGCTGAGCAGCAGTTTGGTCTGTGCACATTAATTCTACACTCCACCCATTGAGGCCATGTGGCACACTGGCTAGGTGGTTAACAATGTAACTCTCTTCTGCATACTCTTTTTAAAGGTCCAACTGAGTCTATAGGGGTGAACTGCAGAGTAAGACAGAATCCTAGATGAACTGGTTGCTCATGCCTTAGCTTATGGAGGCAGTGGTGACCTTGGTCTGGAGGGAAGGAAGAAATGACACCAGGGCAAATCTTTCTGCCACTAGCTCAACACCTGCCTCAACAGCCAGGATAATGGCAGCCAGAATGTTCATGGCAAGGAAGTGGGGTCTGAGAGACCTGGTCATGGGGGCCAGAGGTCAGCATTGAGAGGTAACAGTTGAGCTAATATGGGCAGGACTCATGACTTCTTGCTTGGCATTCCACATGGTGAACCACCTCCTCAGTGAGGCTTTCTCCCTACCATACCATAATAGGAAATTACCTGAATACTACTGGTCACCATTTTTCTATTGTAAAGGAGTTTGGCTAGTACAGTCTCAACAAACTTCTTAATAAAGTTGCCTGTAAAATAGGTTCACCTGATAACTACATCATCTTGTACATGAGGCATATTTAAAGACTCAAGTGTCTAGGCTGGGCTGAGATAAGAACTCATAAAATGCACGAAAAGATCCAAATGACTCGTGTCTGCAAATATATCCCAAAAATATTTTCTACACTCTTTTGGTATGTCTAGCTCTGATTGAACCAGGAAAAACCAGATGTTAAGAGAAAAAAAAAATACCATGAAACAATTTGTCTGACAATTTTACAAAAACAAAGAAGAGATTAGATCATTCATTTCTCAAAATTCCAGAGTGCCTACTCTGATCTAAGTGGGTCTGCTTATCTGAAATTATACAACAATCATGCCTAATGCCAAATCTACTTTCTACAAAAGATATGGGGAGCTTTGTTTCATCTCTGTAATAATATTAACTAATATGGTGAAGTACTTTAAAGTTTATAAATCATTGTTATATTCATTATATCACTGGAGTTATTCAAAACCCTTCAAGGTTGTGAGGGCATATTTTATTACTATATTTATACTTAACTGAGGAAACTGAGACTCAGGGAAGTCTGCCATAGATAGTGTATTATTTTTATACTTAAGACTTACAAGCCAAATCCAGTCCTCTTTCCATTACTCCCTACCACTTCCACACCACAATTTTCTTTCCTTTTTAAAAAAAAATTGTATTATTTAAAAATAGAAATTTATTCTTCAGCTCCATCTGGGTCTATATTCTAAACAAGTAAAACTACTGTCTTGAGTAGATATTTGCACTTCCATATTCATTGCAGCCTTATTCCCAATTGTCAAATACGGAAACAACCTAAGTGTAGACAGATAAATGGACAAAGAAAATGTGTTATATACAAACAATGGAATATTATTCAACCTTAAAAAAGAAACAAATGTCTCAAGTGTTCTCACCACAAACACACATACAAATGGTCATTACTGAGTAAGATGATGGCTATGTTAATTAGCTTAATTGTACTAATCACTGCACAAGGTATAATATATCAAAACATCACATTACATGCACTAAATACATACAATTTTTATTTTTCAATCATACTTCCATAAAGCTGAATAAAAGAAAAATGGAAATTTATTGAGAGGAAAAAAATCTGTCAAATAAGTACATTGTGTTGTGAAGATAAACAGAGGTTATCAATTTTCTCCATTTTTCAGTTTTTATGTCTGAATTAAAAAATTTTACCTTATTTTATCTACATAGATCTTAGAAAAAAATGACAAGTCCTCCTAGAAAAACATGAATGATGAAGCCTAAATCTGACCTGTTTCTGCCTCTGTGTGCTGGAGGAATGAGTTAATAGTTCTGGGCTAGTGAAGTTTCATTTGAAACACTTAGCAAGTTCACGGCATGATTTTATTTTTGAGCTGAGTTCTTGTAATTTATTTTAATTTTTAAAACGATTTTTATTCATCAAACAATTGGCCAAAAATATTTACTTTTAGTTCTATGCTAGAATCTGAGGCAGACTTGGATATACAAGATACAGTCTACTCCCCAGTTGTTTTGAATCAGCGTGCGAAGGCCAGGTACACCAGAGGCCAGCACCCAGGCGGCAGGTCCCTGGATGAAGCCACAGGATAGAATAGGGAGAATGGGCCAGGATAGTCAGCAAAGCCTGCGTGTGAGGAGAATGTCGGCAGAGACCATCTGCTGGAGCTAGGCTCTCAGTAACTTGCTGTCAGAGAGGATACATGTGCATCAAAAACATCAGAGCCATAAACCTGATGTTTGGAACTTGGGTCATCAAATCTGTTTAGTTGTTATTTTCCTTTCCTATCTGGAGGAAAACTAAGGTCTAGAAAAGTTCCTTGGACATGATTCTTTTTAATTGACTAATTAAAAACATTTTATTTTACAACACTTCTACTTCCAAAATACATAAATATAGATCCCATTAATTCTTCCCGTCATGCCCAAGACGAGCACAGGGCTTCCTCTCTTCAGGTGGGGAAGCAACTTCCTGGAGGTGTTCATCTGCATGCTGCTGACTGCGGGAACCAGTCCTTTTCTTTATTTTTTTTCTTTTTACCTTGAATTTATTTCAGATGGCATATTTTGGATCATTCACACAAAATATGAAAAACAGAGCATAGTTATTGTTTTGTTAAGATGAAAAAAATAAAGACTTAGATAAGTAGATTGATGATCATTTTTGAAAATACCATTAAGCACATACTTAAGTATCAAAAACTTCAAGTCAAATCTTATTACAGTGTATTTCAAAAGCAAAGCTCAAATCACTGTGGTTGAATTGCATTTCATAAAATATTTGTTGAAATAAATGTCATTGAAACATCATTATACAGTTATTTTCTTTTCCTATTTATTGTCTTCTCATATTCTTCTCTTTCTTTCTACTCTGGGCTCATTAATTGTCCAGTGGGGGTGTGTGTGAGTGTATGTGGGTGTTTGTGTGCATGTGTGCTTTGTTTTGGCTTTTTTCCATTATAATATTCTGTCACTCTTCTTATCCACACTTCTAAAGGGTGGAAATAAAAAACAGGAACTTGGACAAACCTCACCGAATATTGACCTTAGAATCTTGAGATTCAACACAAAAGCCTAGCAGTTTCCTCCAAGTTCACATGGAAAATTAACAATCTTTGTTCTATATTACATGACCGCCATGTCAAAAATCTTAATTCTAGAACAGGTCCAACACAGCTGGGCTATTTCAAGGCTGCAAAGAATTCCTGATAAGGCCTGTCATGGCTAGATTGGGTCCTCTCTTTGGGGTAAAGTAAGTGCAAGTTGACATCTGAGGGATGGAGAGCTTCCCTGGAGCCATCGAGTTTCCTCAAACTGAAACCCCTGCAGTATCTTTTATTCTCTTCTTTGCTCCACACAAATCACAGCAACAAATACAAATGCATCAAACTTCTGCTATAAACTTTAATAGCCTTGGGCCCTCTTCGATTTGGACCACTGCAAAAGTTTGAATTACATTTGATGTTTTAAATTTTAAAAAATATCAGTGCCCAAGGAGATGGCCTTTCAATTGCATGGTTTAGCAGTCTCATGTGAGTATATGCTTCCTAAACAAAGGATATGTTGCAAATGTTAACACTGCTTTTACCAGAAATCAGCTTCTGTGCAAACTTCTTTCTGTTTTAGCAGGGAGCCATCATTATGCCCATTTTGCATATGAAGGACTTGAGGGTCAATTAATTGGATTTACTTGCTCAAGATCACAGGGCTCCTATTTACTTGCTCAAGGTCAGGAGACCTGGACACATTCCCCTTTCTCTTTCAGAAAGCAAAGTCAGGTCCCAACCTGCTGAGGAGCTTGAGCCTCTCTCAGGTGGCTAAGGAGTCCAGGCAGGGTCCTTCAGGAGGAGTAGTCAAGAGCAGGCCAGGATGTGGTGTAGGCATCAACTTTGGAAAGCACAGAGTGGAAAGTGGGTTTCTGAGCATGGAATTTTCTAGAAGGGAGAGCTGCACAGAAATGCACAAAGAGTACTGATTGTTTGCCCATGGCCAGCTGAGAGAGACCTGCACACAAGACTTCTTGGGCCAGCTGTCATTGAATCAAAATTTAGAGAGTAAAAAGCAACTTGCTCTCCCAATACCACTGGCCCCTCACTCAAAGACTCCTGTATTCCCCATTAGCCAGTTAAGCACAATACTTGTCCCCCTCCACGACCCCCTAGGAGGACTTGCTTGCCCAACTCTGCATTTTGGTTGGGTCTTAGATTTGCTTTCCTGCAGCTGCTTGCTCAATTCCCTCCTGTGGGTAATTGGGGGATGTCTTTAAAACCAGCAGACACCTTCCAGGGTCATGCTTGAGGAAGGAAACTGAACAACTTGGCTTGTCAGGAATTCCACCCCAAGAAAAAACCCCTAGTTAAAGAGCAGCCAAGGTGGGAGGGCACGATTTCCTATCTGGATCCCCTTTCTTTCCATCAAGCCCATAAATCTGAATCCATTTTTCTCCCACTATAGGTTTTGCTTTCCTGTAACTGGTCCCTAATACTCCAGACAGTTGTCTTCACTTAGGCTCTTGGCTGGTTATGCAATGACTTCTGCCTCCAAATCAGCAAAGATCAAATCCTCTCTGCTATCTGATAACACTCTCCCTGCCTCCCACTCGGGAGTTGATGAAGGCCCCTAAAGAATAACTGGGTCTTCTCTTCAACTCAAGCATTTGAAGGAAAATCACTAAGAGTTTTGCTTTTCTTTGCCCTCCAGAAAATATGACTGCTTATCCCTTTTTTGTTGTTGTTGTTTTCTAAAACCCTTGATGTTGCAGACTTCACTTACCTCCAAAAGGAACCTCACAAACCCTCTCTGCAAGCACTTGCTGTGGGAATTGGCAATTTCACAAATTGGGTTTTTCTCGTTTTAAGCTGATGAGTTGGACCCAACTAGCACACTCCACTTTCTCTACTAAGAACCACCCTCTGTGTTAAGGAAATAACCTCCACACTCTAGAATACTTACTCTCCCTTTAAAGGAGATCCTGATTCCATGTTTCCCAACCAGCTCCTGAAGTACATGTGTAAATAACCTCCGATTACCCTTTCCTCCCAGATGGCAGACAGAGTCAAACACACAGTTTAAAAGTAATATGCATAATGAATTTTGTATGTGCTCAAGGGATTATCAAAGTGTAGCCTTTAATGGGTAATATAACTCCCCGGAATCTATACATTTATCTTGGGGTGTGTGTGTGTGTGTGCATGCTTGCACACACACAGTCATTTATAAGGTAAGACTGTTAAATGGCTCAGTCTTCTCCACCATAAAGTCCAGATATCTTTATCAGAGCTGCTAGGTCATTCAGGATCCAATCTCTGTTTACCTCCAGACTCAAATTCCCATTCTCCCTTCTCAGCTATGATTTCTCAATTCCAACTACATTGAACAATTAATAATTTCTGAAAAGTATTAATCAAATATCTGGATGCCTGCACATGCTGTTTATCTGTCTGGCATGTCTCCCCTACCCCAATTCTCATCTGCCTCACACACACCTGACTACCCTATGGCTCTCAGCTGGGAAGAACAGATCCCTGATCTTTAACTTCAGCTGTTGGCCTCTCCTCTGTGGTCCTATCACTCCTAGCACTGAGCCCCAGAGAAGCACCTATCCCACTGTATTAAGATAATGTATTTACTTCCCAGTCTTTCCTTGAGGAAAGGAACTATGACTTGCTATAATCATATCTGCACTTACTTATATAGTGCCTGCCTGGCTTGTAGCAGCTATTCAGTAAAATAGTCATTGAATGAAGAAATAATTGGATCAATTAATTATTCAAGAGATGTTATTGCAAGAACCTGAGCAGAGAGCCCTATGCATATCATTCTATTATAATGTCTCTGCTACATTTTAATTCTTGCTGGGATCACGCTGTCATGAAAGGGATTAAGATCAGAGGTGCTTATCTAAGCACTGCATGTTTCCTTCAGGAATAGGACAACAACCCTCCTTTTATTTCTCTCATTTTTAACTTTCAAACCTTTGGATTTGACATGTATAGCATGTCATAGTGGCGAATATAAAGACAAACTCTGGAGGCACAGAGTCACCTTTCCAAGCACTTTACTTCCCCATTGCATTCTTCCCCACTTCTGTTTCCCAGGACAAAAACCAGAGTGCCATCTTCACCTTTGCTCTGTCATCAGGTTCATCTATGTTTTTCCCTCTTAAAGAAAGACAATCTATAGCAATCTCTCTTCCCTTCATTTTTTCTAAAGCCACCATTCTAGATAGGTTCTCCATAGGTTCACAACTGGACATACACAATTAATTAATTCCTTCTTTCAATAAATATTTACTAAATAGCTGCTGCGTGCCCAGTAGGCACTGTGCAAGCTCTCTTCTTGCTTCCAGTCTTGGTCCTGTGACCCATCTGACATATACTACCAGACCAAGCTATCCAAATACCATACATGATATCCAACCCTTCCTTTTCAAGGCCTCCTTGGTTTCATTTGCTTTAGTCTGTGAAGATGAGACTAAGGCCAGGTTCTTTTCCTCCAATTAAATGTGCACTATGCAGTGAACAAAGCACCAGAAATGGCTAAAACTGAAGGAAACTTTATTGCCTCCACATGTCACTCCTAGGACCACAGGAAAGAGAGAGTCTCAGTCCAAAGGGGCATAAGAGTTGACACTCTTATGACACCAGGTGGAGAGTAATCACGTGTGTGTGTGTGTCATGTCAGGGCAGCGATAGAGATTGGAGGAATGCTGGACACTTCCAGCAGCCTGCTGTACCTTAAGAACTATTGGAGTAATTACTCAAGGCTTCTTCAAAGGCCATCATAGTAGTTATAACAAACCAGAACACTGGCAGGGATCTGATCTGACGGGTGTCTTGTTGTGTCTGGTTGCCACAAGGAGAAAGCCAGGGGACTCTTCTTACTATGGAACTACCTGTACATTGACACCCAATTTGTCCAGAAATGACTAACTCATCAAATCTTTCAATGCATCTCATTAGTCAGTAGTCACATATTTGTAATTTGAATAAATTATTTACACCAAAATTCAACCAACTACTCAGTGTTGCACATTGTTTCCATTTTAATTAGAACCCACGGGCTTCAACAGATTTAGAGAACAGTCTGATGAATATGAGTAGAGACCATCATTACAATGATAATTTACTTGGAAGAATAACATCCCACAAGAGAAATTTGATCCATGTTATCTGCTACAGAAAACTCAGAGGCTTTTGTTCGGCCTTTGATGCCTTCTGTAGTAGGGTCCCGACCACTTCAGTTTCCCTCACACCTCCCCAACACATGCACCACTCATGCTGGTCCTTGTTCTGTCCCACCGATATGCCAGTCCTACTTTGGGGTTCATGTGCTTAAGCACATAGCCTTCCAATCTCCTTGACAACCTCTGCATATTGAAAATACTCACCCTTTGGGACTCAGCCCAAGTTAGGTCTCCTTGGTGACAGATTCAACTATATCAGCTCCTCCTCCTCTTAATTCCTTTAGCTCCTAACTGTTCTCTATTTAACAGCAATTACTGAGTCCTTGCTATGTCTCAAGAACTATTCTAAGTGCTGTACATGCATTTGCTCATTTAATTTTAATGACAACCCTTTAAGGTAAGTACAATTACATCCCCATTTTACAGAATGAACTAAGGCACAGAAGAATTAAATAAATTGCCCAAGGTCTGTGCTCTATTTATCTGTTACTGCATAATAAACACCTCAAATTTAGTGACATAAAACAGCAACTGTTTTATTATGCTCATGAATTCTGAAG
The DNA here is from genome assembly GCF_000001405.40 of Homo sapiens. NCBI lineage: Eukaryota > Metazoa > Chordata > Mammalia > Primates > Hominidae > Homo > Homo sapiens. Next base: position 19,532,630 of record NC_000002.12, read on the forward strand.
GTCAAGCAGAGTAGGGGTATCTTCTTTCTGCTCCATGATAGTTGCATCTCAGCTAGGAGGACTGGACTGACTAGGCGGTGACTTGAATGCTAAGTAGCTGGAATCATCTGGACTCTCCTTCATTAATATGTCTGGTCCTTAGAGCTGGATAATGCAAAAGCTGAGCTCTGCTGAGACTATCAACTGGAGCACCTACCCATGGCCTGCCCATGGGTCATGGGCTTCTCACAGCCTGATGGCTGGGTTCCTACAGGACATGTTCTGAGAGGAAACAACCAGACAGTGAGAAGAGATGAAAGCATAGAATGCAAGTCTTCTTCTGACATACCCTCTGAAGTCATGCAGTGTCATGTCTGCCTCAGTCTATGATGACAAATGAGTCACTGAGATCAGTCCAGATTCAAGAAAGGAATCAGACTCTACTTCTTGCTGGTGGAGTGATGAGGTCATACTGCAGAAGAACATGTGGGATGAGATATGTTATTGTGGCCATCTTTAAAAAATGCAACCTGACACAGTCTTGAAGCTTAAAAGTGACAGAACCAGGCTGTTGCATAATTGTTAGTTTTTTTTCTCCTAAGATACAGTGTAAGATCTTTTACAGCTGAAATTATAGCTTGAGTTTCTGACACTATATGATAAAAAAATTCATAAGCCAAAATAAATGTTGTTATTAATTATTTAGAAGAAACCAGAGAGAAGGGATAGTTAAATGGTATGGGCTGTCTTTTGAGGTGATGAAAATGTTCTACAATAAACTCTGGTAATGATTACATATATATCTACAGTAAAGGCCATTGAACCGTACAATTTAAACAGGTAAAATATATGGTGTATGAACTATATCTCAATTAAACTATTTTTAAGACAAAGTATAAATTAAGACATTCCCAGATAAGTAAAAAATTGAGAGGGTTTAATACTAGCAGACATGCTCTACAAGAAATGCTAAAGTGAATCCTTCAGACTGAAGTGAAAGGACAAGAGTCAATAACTTGAATCCCAATGGAGAAATAAAGAATATTAGTAAGGATAAATAAATAGAAAAATATAAAAGTTAGAATAAATGTATTTTGGGTTTGTAACTTCTCTTTTTTCCTATGTGATTTAAAACACAACTACATAAAACAATAAATATAAATCTATGTCAGTTGGGATACAATATATAAACATGTAATTCAATAGGGAAAACTAAGCTATATAGGGGGAAATTTTTATATACCATTGAAACTATTTTGGTACTAATTTGAACTAGATTGTTATAAATGAAGACATTAATTGTAATCCCCAAGGCAACCACTAATAAAATAACTAACGCAGAACGCAGTGTAAAATAAATAAAGAGGTAATCAAAATGTTATGCTAGTAGACATCAATTTCACACGAAAGAAGACAGTAAGGGAGGAATTCAGCAACAAAAAAAAAAATATGACATATGGAGTAAAAGGTAACAAAATGGCAGAAGTAAGTTTTACCTCATCAGTAATTATATTAAATGCAAGACTCAGATTCTCTAATTAAAAGGCTGATATTGAAGAACGGATTTTTTAAAAAGTTATCCAACTATATGCTGTCTACAAGAGACTCACTGTAGATACAAAACAGCTTGAAAGTGAAAGGGCAGAAAAAGACATTCCATACAACAATAACTAAAATAGAGCTTAAGTATCTATATGAATATCATATAAAATAGGTTTAAGGCCAAAAATTGCTACAAGAGATGAAAAAAGGATATTGTATAGTGATAAACAGGCCAATTTATTAAGAAGACATATAAATTAAAAATATATACACACCTAACTTCAGAACCCCAAAATATATGAAGGAAACATGGACAGAATTAAAGAGAAAAAGAGAAAATTCCACAATAATAGTTGGAGAGTGTAATACCCTGCTTTCAATAATGAGTAGAACAACTCGACAGAAGATCAGTAAGAAAGTACAAGACTTGAACTATACTATAAACCAACTAGACCTAACAGACATCTACAAAACACTCCACACAACAACAGGAGACATATTTTCTTAAGAACACATAAAACATTCTCCAGAATAATCATATGTGAGGTCACAAGTCTCAATAAACTTAAAAAGATGGAAATCATACAAAAGTATCCTTTCTAATTACAACAGAATGAAACTAGAAATCAGTAACAGAAGAAAATCTGAAAATTCCAAAAATGTATGAAAATTAAACAACACACTCTTAAACAGTTAATGGATCAAAACAGGAATCACAGAGAAATTAGAAAATACTTTGAGACAAATCTAACTAAAAACGCAGCATACCAAAACTGATAGGATATAGTGAATGCAGTGCTTACATAGAATATATGATTATGTGTCTATATTTCTTAAAAGAAAGATCTCAAACCAATAACTTAGCTTTACACCTTACAGAACTAGAAAAAGAAGCGCACACTAAACTGAAAGCTAGCAGAATTAAGAAAATAAAAAGAGTGAAGATATATGAAATAGAGAAAAGAAAAAAAAAAGTTGATTCTTTGAAAAACAAATCAACAAAATTGACCTGACAAACCCAGAAAAAAGAGAAGACACAAATTACTAAAATCACAAATAAAAGTGGGTATATTGCTAATAAGCTTACAGAAATAAAAAGGATTATGAGAAAATACTACGAACATTTATATGCAATCAAGTAAGATAGCCAAGATAAAATGAATAAATTCTTAGAAGGAAAAAATTACCAAAAGTGACTCAAAAAGAAATAGAAAACCTGAACAGACCTATAATAAGTAAAGAGATTGAATCAGTAATCAAAAAACTTCCAACAAAAAAAAATCCCAGGTTTCATTGGTGGACTCTACTAAAGGTGCTTGTAAAAGTAACACCAATTCTTCTCAAATTCTTCCAAAACTTGGAAGAAGAGGATGAAATACTTTCTGATTTATTCTATGAAGCCATTATTCCCCTGATTTTAAAGCCAAAGAAAACTATAAACCAATATCCTTTGTGAATATAGATGCAAAATTTCTCAACAAATATTATCAAACTGAATCCAACAACACATTAAAAGGATTTTATATCATGACCAAATTGCATTTATTCAAAGAATGCAAGGGTGGTTCAACATAAGAAAAGAAGCCAAGGTACTATACTATATTAATAGAAAGAAAGGAGGGAAACCCCATATGATCACCTCATTGATGGAGAAAGAGCAGTAAAAAAAAAAAAAAAAAAAAAATACAACACCCTTCCAGGATTAAAAAAAATCAATCTACAAGCTAGGAATAGAAAATAATTTCCTCAAAACAAAAAAGGAGATGAAGGGATTAAGATGGTGGACAGGAAGTAGGACTAACTTGCAGCTCCCACTCAAATGGGCAGAGCAGCATGTAGAGACTCATATCGTAAACTTTTGCTCCAAGAACTACCACATGAACATACCAAGAAAGCCAAGAGAATCCACAGACTTTTGAAGGAACTGGATTACCACTGCAGACTCCCTGAGATGCCAAAAAACTGTGAGTCTGCTTGCTTTCTCAATGGGGGAGGCTCGTGGTCTGGGGCAAGTTCTCAGCCCTGGTCACTGGCTGCCCGGAAATAGACTCAAACTCTCAGCCCTGGTGCTGTTGGGGTGCATGGTGGGAGTGAGATTGGCCTTTAGGACTGTGGGCTGTATAGGAGTGGGATGAGGCCTGTGACTGCAGGCTTTTCTTCACTTCCCTCATGACCTGTATGACTCACCAGAGGCAGCCATAATCCCCCTGGGAATGTAACTCCATTGAACTGGGTACCACACCCCCATTTCCCACATGCAGCAAGTCCCACCCAAGGAGAAGCTGAGCTCAGACATGCCTATCCCTGCCCCGACCTGGTGGTCTTTCTCCACCCACTCTGGTAGCCAGAGACAAAGATCATAATCTCTTAGGAGCTCTATGGCCCTGCCCACTGCCTAAGAAACCTGAATACTTAACCCAGGTGTCTCTAGGGCAAGTTTGCATCCTCCCTATAGGACTGCAGCTGATACACTCTTGAAATTGCCACCTCCTGTCTGGAGGCCAAACCAATACAAAGCCAGCGCGCTAAACAACAAAACCAAGAACCCTCACAGAGTCCACTTCACTCCCCTGCTACCCCCACAAGAGCAGGTGCTGGTATCCACAGCTGCAAGACCTGAAAATGGGTCACATCACAGGACTCTTTCCAGACCAGCCCAGAGCTCGGTAGCTGTGCTGTGTGGCTAGACCCAACAGAGCAAAAACGATCACTGCAGTTCAGATCTCAGGAAACCCCATTCCTAGGGGAAGGCAGAGAACACCACATCACTAAAGCACCCCGTGGGACAAAATAATCTAAACAACAGCCCTTGAATCCCAGATCTTCCCTTTGATCTTCCCTCAGTCTACCCAAATAAGAAGGAACCAGAAAAACAATTCTGGTAATATGACAAAACAAGGTTCGTTAACACTCCCATACCAGCTCACCAGCAATGGATCCAAACCAAGATGAAATCTCTGAATTGCCAGAAAAAGAATTCAGAAGGTTGATTATTAAGCTAATCAAGGAGGCACCAGAAAAAGGTGAAGTCCAACTTAAAGAAATCAAAATAATGATACAGGATATGAAAAGAAAATTCTTCAGTGAAGTAGGTAGCATAAATAGAAAACAGTCACAACTTCTGAAAAATCAAGGACACACTTAGAGAAATGCAAAATGCACTGGAAAGTCTCAGCAATAGAATTGAACAAGCAGAAGAAATAACTTCAGAGCTCAAAGACAAGGCTTTTGAATTAACCTAATCCATCAAAAACAAAGAAAAAAAAGAATTTTAGAAACTGAACAAAGCCTCCAAGAAGTTTGGTACTATGTTAAACGTCCAAACCTAAGAATAATTGGTTTCCCGAGAAAGAAGAGAAATCTAAAAGATTGGAAAATGTCTTTGAGAGAATAATCAAGAAGAGCTTCCTCAACCTTGCTAGAGATATAGATATCCAAGTACAAGAAGCTCAGAGAACACGTGGGAAATTCATTGCAAAAAGATCATCAACTAGGCACATAGTCATCGGGTTATATAAAGTCAAGACAAAGGAAAGAAGAGCTATGAGGCAAAAGCATCAGGTAACCTATAAAGGAAAACCTATCAGATTAACAGCAGATTTCTCAGAAGAAACCCTACAAGCTAGAAGGGAGTGGGGTCCTATTTTTAGCCTCCTTAAACAAAACAATTCTCAGCCAAGAATTTTGTATCCACTGAAACTAAATTTCATAAATGAAGGAAAGATACAGTCTTTTCCAGGCAAACTAATGCTGAGAGAATTCACCACTACCAAGCAAGGACCAGACTGAAAGAAGCCAGACACATAAGGCCACAAAGTGTATGATTCCATTTATATAAAATATCCAAAATAAGTAAATCCATAGAGACAGAACGTAGATTAATGGTTGCCAGGGTTTCAGGGGAGAGGGAGAGGAGGAGTGAACACTTTACAGGTACAGGGTTTCTTTTGGGGTAAAACAAATTCTAGAATTAGGTAGTGGTGATGGCCGTACACCATTATAAATGTTCTAAAATCCACTGAATCGTAAATTCTGAAATAGCTAAAATGGCAAATCTTATGCAACGTAAATTTTATCTCAATAAAAAAAATTTTAAACAAAGAAGTGCCATAAAATCTCAGATAGGATTGAAAGAAAAGTATTTTACAGATCAGTGCTTTTTTCCTCACTTTTTTATTTGTTTTCATGGAAATTACCATATGTAGGGAAAACTATGCTTTTACTACAAGTTCAGGCTGTGCGATGAACTGAAAAAAAAAAAAAAAAATCCAGAGATTTCAGAGTCAGTTCTGGCTCTGACATTAAAGAACCGTATGATTCTGGGGAAGTCCCTTTTTCTCCTCTGGGCTGCATTCACCTCAGATGACACCATGGTGTCCACCTGTGCAATATATGGGCTAGGCCTGGTCTGGATCCAGGAACTACATAGAAAGGCCATGAGTCAGTTCTGAGCCTGACTCATTACGAGATAGGTTAATGGTAAAGCAAGAGGAGATAGGAAACAATTCAGAGTTTTTCCTACGTCTTCCCCTGAATTATCCTCATCTGTGGGCAAAATGCTCAAGAATGATATTTTTAAAAGGGTGACGATATTTGGTTAAAATGTCCACGGAGGAAGGGGAGGTAAGGACTGTGAGAAGCGTGCCCAAACCACAGAGCTTCCAAACTGCAGTCCACATCACCAGCAACAGCCCTAATGAGCTCTGTGCTGGACACTCCCCACTGAATTACATAATACATTTCCGTTTCATTTCATGAATCACAACTTGGGATACAATGTTCCTGGGTTGCAGTTGATATATTTTAGAGATTACCAAATATTTCAAAAAGAAAAATTGATTTTATTAAATTCATATGTAAAATGTCTGTATGTCAGCCAACTTATTTATTTTCAAATTTGAGATTTTCTTAAATGTTGTAGTTACAGCTCAATGTCAAGAGAGTTCTCAATAAACCCATTAATGAATAGCGAGACTGCCGTTGCCCCTGGATTCTTCATTTCTTTTGAGAGTTCAGTTCCTGGTTGATGACGGTGGGTTTCATTTCAGCTGCCCCTCTTGGGTGAGAATGAGAAAAAAAGTGGTAGAGCTTCAGACCACGGATCAGGGGAAGTGGAACTCACATAGGCAACTATGTAACAGTGAGTTTTGTTCACTATAAGACTACAGTACAAGCCGTATATACAAACATTAACTCCTTTGCGGCTGTCAATGTTACTGGTATCCATCAGGACTCACTGGTCTTTTCTCAGGGCGACAAGGGAGCTAGAACGCAGGTCTGTGAATCAGAAAGACACAGTTCAAATCTTAGCTCAGCCACTGGCAGCTGTGCAACTTTGGGAAGGCTATTTAACCCCCCTAAGCTTCAGTGTATTAATCTGTAACGTGGGAATAATAAAAATGCATGGGTCATGAGTGCTTGCAAGGACTAACGACAGGAGATATGCAGAGTGATTAGCATAGTGCCTAGCACATAGTAAGTGTTCAATAAATACTAGTCATGTGTAATTGTTGTTATCCTACCTTAGAAGCAGCAACTTTGAATTGTAAATTGAGTTTGGGCTGATCTAGTATGTCCTGAGTTCATTTTCAAAACTTATGATCAAGTTCACTTTTGTGAAGGCACATACTCTTTGAGAATGTGAACTGGCTGTACATCATTCATTCATTTGTCATTTCTTTATTCAGTCATTTACTTACTATTTTGACCATCATCTATGTGCCTGACAGAATGTTAAACCTTAAGGGAACAAAGTTGGGAAGAACAAAACACAGTTTCTTTCCTCCAGGTTCTAACTGGGGAGAAAGGCAAATATTGTGGTGAACACAAGCTGAAAGTGATCAAAATGCTTCAGGAGCAGAGAGGAAGCCCATCTGAACCTAAGGCGGATGCTGGGCATAGCAGGGCCTTCCCTAGTGGGCTGCTGTGCACGTGAAATGAGACCCAGTGTGGGAAGAGAAAAGAGCTATGTGTGAGGGGGACAGGCCACTCAGAGAGATGCAGATGGATTACTTCAAAATACATGAGAGTGGGTCCAGGGAACTGCATTTTTAAGTGTCTACTATGAGCCCATTTTACATTTGTTAATTCAACAACAAAACCCCCATTTTCCAGATATGAAAACCAAGGCCCGGAGAGATTTTGTACCTGGCCCAAGATCATGCAGCAGGCCCAAAGCTGTCAAAATTTTGCCAAAGCCCAAGCTCTTTGCACAGGATCATACCACCTCTTTATGCTACTACATATTCTATAATAAGGCCTAAGTGATTGGTATTGATTAGCAAATCCAAAGAGGCTTCCTTGGTCTTATGAACTAATATACATTGCACCAATCAGCACTGAATAGTATACAGACAGTCTAACTATAATTTCTTCCAGAGCAATAATGAGCAGGTGATAATTCACTGCCTCAGCACCCACAATGCATTTGGCCTGCATTCTCACACCCCAGGTGAAGTTTTTCTAACAAAACGCAGGTGCAGTAGGGGTGTTTTCAACTCTTACTAGAGAATACAAAAAACAATGCTTAGTTTATAAAAGAATAATGTAACACTACTAGAATATTGGCTTTTTTCACTTTTTGACCCCTAAACATCTGTAAATAGAATAATATCTGTTATTTTTGCATTGTTATTAACCAGGAAGTTTGGTCTTGCCATAGACAGAGTTCACAGGGCTGGGAGTTGGTGCTTGTGTGCCTTGCAGACTCTGTCCCTCAGGGTGACACCGCCAACTTAATGCTTGCAGAGCATTTGTGGTTTATCAAGCACTGCACTTTCTCTTTCTCATTTGACGCTCACAGCAAATCTGGAAGGGAAGCAGAAGAGATATTTCCACCTCCAATGAACAGAGCTTAGGGGACACACATGGAGTAAAAAGGGCCAGCGCTGATCCATAATTGCCTGCCTCCCAGTCCAGTTCTGTTCCCTGCGCTGTGTTGTCTCCTAATTGCTCTGTTCATTTTGTACCTGTGAGGGTTAACTGGGAACACAGGAGTTCTGTTAAATATCACAGTAGTTAGTACATTTTAATCCTGATCCCCCAGCCTACTGTAGCTGCTGTAAAATATATGGCAATAATTTCCTGAGGCAGGGTAATGTATAAGGAATGTCAGGCCAGCCTCTGGGCATATTTGCCTTAGTTCAGTTTTATTAAAGTAAAACTTTTATTAAGGCATGTGGTGAATTGAGCAATCGGCATGATTCATGCCGTTATAAACCCATTGCTACACTCACAATAAATCAATGAGCCATTGTCGTACATTTGCTGTGGAGTTGGTAGAAACAAGGAAAAAATCAATATGGGGATATTATTCAGACCATATGAAAGTATTAAAGTGTATTCTGTGTGTATTAAACCTGGCCAAACAATATTTCATGTGTACTTTTTTTTCTGTAAATATCTCCATTAGTATCGTCTACTCTGGGCTGTTTGCTAATCCATATGTTATTTTGAGATAATTATAGGAAATATTTAAAATTCCACATAGGTCTTTGTGAGTTTAAAATTTTATTTTATAAATTTATGTAATAAAATTGTCCTAAGGAAAAAGCATTAACAATAAATTTAGAACAATGAGCTTCTTCCTTAACAAACACAGTATAGCTGTAACTTTGCATTATTGAGTAGGTAATGTGCTCTTCTTTAGAAAAAAAAAAAAACCAACAGGAGGAAGCGATTTGAATGAAAGAAAGGGCACTTTTCATTATCCCCCAGCTAGATGGGGACAATCACTGGACCGGCAGCATTCTCTGCATCTCTGGAAACTATTATTGTATCTCCACTTACCTGGAACCTCTTCCGAATGTTGAAATAGTGTCAGTGACAGCCATTTCCCTATGGTGGCAGTGTGTGATCACCTGCATTTCTGCACTAGGAGTTTCAGGTTCCTCTGGAGGCTAATGTGAGTTGATCAGAAAAAAAGGTGCAGTCACAGCTGGCTTCAAACTCAAGCTGCAATACTACCAAGATCCTCCTGGGTTTCAGGTAGTAGGGAGCTGAGCCATTTACTGCCATAGTAATTACTCAGAGGGGTTTCTGTGGCTCTCTAATACTCTGAAACAAATGTTAGATTTCACGAAACACCTATGCAGTGCCCGCTGGGGTTTGAGGTTGTCTTCTAAGCCCAAAGGGAAGGGAAAGGCATTATGTGAATGTGCCATGGCATTACGTTTGCTAAGTCGAGGCAGCCTCTGGCCAGTGCTCTAAGTACTGAGTGCTACCTAAAACGAGACGAGGCAAAGACAGTTCCAACTGGAGAACCTGAGATTCCTGGAGAAGGCTTTGAAAGATGGTTTCCACTTCAACAGGCAGAACGCCTGAAGCAAAAATATTTGCCCTGCCCTTCAGTTGTTGTCTGTTTGTAGCTTGCCACCCAATGGCTATCTTTTGGAGAAAGAGCATCAGAAACTTCACATAGTTGTACTCTCTGGAACTCGACTAATCTTCTTATGGAATATTAGCTTACATTTTCCAGCACAAGAAGAGCTCCAAATGCATATCCAGGCAGCTGGGACATCAAGGGAATGTTGTGATAGCCCTGGTAAGGCCTGATGACTTTCATCATCAAAAGATTTATGCTCACCCTCAGGTGGAAACACTTTGTTTTGTTTTTTCATGTAATAAAAATAATATTCCTATTTACTTACTAGCCAGTTAAAATGAAGAGATTTAATTTTGCTTTATTCCAAAAGAAATAAGAGGTCAGGGGAGGAAGGAAGAGTGTGAGTATAAAATAAACAGGAAGGCTGAGGAAGAGAGCCAGCCCTACAGTTCATGCGGGGTCAAGGAGGTGAGAACTGAGCCTCTCCTTACCAACTCATTCCCTGGCCATCGCTGACTAATGGGGTAACTCCACTGCTTCCAGTTTATGTGGACACATACTAGTTTTCTGCTCCTTTCCATGCTTTCATTAGGAACCTAACCTATTGGCGGCAGCAGCTTCAGTAGAGAGACGAGTGCATGTGACATCATCTTTGGCTTAAGGATGGTATGTGTGTCTTTCAGGGCATATGGTCCGAGATGATCCATCATGGCCTATGATGTCAGATTATCCACTGAGACTCAGGCCTCTTTGCAGAAATGCAATTATATTCTGATAATGGTATTTCCAGTTGTTGTGATAGACAAGACTGATGCTGGGAAGAGGTGACTGGTGGAATACTGGATAATATACGTACAGGGCAGGCAGAAGAATGAGGCATCATGAGCTGAGCTGTCAGTGAGTTTTGCAGTTCTTTCCTTCCCTGTACATTTCTCAGCAGTCAGCATTGGTTGCCATCCAAAATGCCATGGTCAACCATTCCACAAGCCTCAGCCCAGTAGCCTGGTAAGTCCTAGGCATGGCAGTGATTCCCCGAGACTCCACCTGCTCCTCCAGCCATGCATCCACTGCTCGCTACTCTCCTCCTCACTTCATAAACCAGGAGGACCATTTAGAGGGCTCCTTAGCTCTTTCCTCTCTGTTTAATAACACCAATCAATTCATTCTTCCTCTAAATCTTTATTTTGCTTGTATTACTTTTTTAACATTTTATTCTCTTTTCTTTAAACAAATATTTTTTTCTAGACTTTTCCTCTAAATTTTCTATATCCTGCTTTTGAGCATTCTGGCCTCCAATACTGGCTTGAAAACAAACCAAAACCTAACATTGTGCAATATTCACTCAGTCATTTAACCAGTGTTTACTGAGAATTCCCCATTTTCTTGCCCTGGCAAGGTACTGGGCATGCAAAGAAGCAATGTGGCATACTAGAAAGATGACTTTTAAAACCAAACTGTTCTGGGTTCAGATAGCTGCTTTGTCATGTATAAGTTGTGTGGACTCGGACATGCCACTTAATCTCCTGAAGTGTTGGTTTCTTCAACTGTACTAGAACCAAAGCATGTCTGTCATTTAACATAGTGCTTGATGCATAGGCACCCAATGCATGGAACCCATTATGTCTATTATTATTTATAAGCTTTAATCAAGACCCTCATAGAGTATTTGCTTCTTAGGCTCATGATCTTTTTGTGGGTACTTGTTCCATGTTGCTGAGTCATAGTGAAAGTTGTTTAAATAATTGAAAGGACATTATTGAAGGGATTTTCAGAGCCCATTGACATATAAGTACAACAAATAGCTTCAGTGTTGATTAAAAATCAGTTATCTTTTTCTCTTTGATCTTGTCTCTCAGAGACCACTTTCACCACGATCATTTTCCCATTTCAACTCCAGATTATTACTCTTTGTCCTGGGCCAAAGATGGAGGAGTAGAGACTGAGAGTGCTAGTCAGCTAGCCTCAGTCCATGTTGGAACTGACTTTCCCCCTCTAAATGCATGCTCACTTTAATAGAGGACATTATAAAACAAAACTGGTCTTCTGACTCTAAGGAAAAAGGGTTTCTTGGCAGATCTATTGGCTATATTCTACCCTAGGCCAAGCAAATCAGAATCTCCAGGGAGGGGCACAGGAATCTGTGCTTTTAACAAGTACCTTGTTAAACATTAGACAAGTTGGAAAACCTAATCTAAATCCATCACAAAACAATGATTGGGCATCTCCATGTTTTTAAAAAATTTGTATGGGGCAAGCAGAAATATGAAGCAGGATATATGCCCTCAGGGACTTTATATTCAATTTGGAGATTATATATGTGTGCATATATGTATACATATGTATAAATGTGTTTATATATGTATGTGAGTGTATACACACACACGAAAACATAAGTCACCATGAAACTTTGTCATTAAAAGTAAGAGATCAGTAAAAACAAAATGCATAGAAAAAATATCCCCAACAAAACAGGGCTAAAGCTAGATCTCAAAGGAAGTTTGTGTAGGAACTTTCAGAACCTGTTATCGAAATGTTCAAATATCCACACAAGTAAAATAGTGTAGAGAACCCCACCCTATGTACCAGCCACCAATATTCAATATTTTGGCCAAACTTTTCACCTGTCTTTCTCTCCATTTCTCCACCCCTCCTATTCCCCCTCAGACTATTTTAAAGCAGGACACACAAGTGCTGTGCTGGGCCTCAACTTGTTATTCATTTGTGACATAATCATATGAATATTTACTCTATTTCTACACCTATCCTGTTGAGAACAGGCCACAGACCATAGCTGGAGTAGCACTGCTTTAAAGCACCTCCCACATATCATATCACATAATTTAAAAATCAGAAAACTGCAAGGATTCCAGGCAAGAGGGATGGGGAAAACGGAACTGAAAAATTCCACTGGGAGAAACCAATTTTATTAAAGGTACTTAAACTGTGCCAGGTACTGCTATGGTTTGAATATGTTTCCCAAATTTCCTGTGTTGAAATTTAGTTCCCAAATTCATACTTTGACAGTATTTGGAGGTGGGGCCTTTGGGAGGTGTGTTAGTCCATTTTTATGCTGCTATTAAAGACATACTGAAGACTGGCTAATTTATAAAGGAAAGAGGTCTAATTGACTCACAATTCAGCATGGCTGGGGAGACCTCAGGAAACTTACAATCATGGCAGAAGGGGAAACAAACACGTCCTTCTCCACGTGGCGGCAGCAAGGAGAAGTGTAGAGCAAAGGTGGGGGAAAGCCCCTTATGAAACCATCAGATCTCATGAGAGTTCACTCACTATCACAGGAACAGCATGGAGGTAACCGCCTTCATGATTCAATTACCTCCCACAGTTCCCTCCCAGGACACATGGGGATTATGGAAACTACAATTAAAGATGAGATTTGGGTGGGGACACAGCCAAACTATATCAGGAGGTAATTAGGGTTAAATAAGGTAATCAGGGTAGAACCTTCATGATAGGTCTAGTGGCTTTATAAGATGAGGAAGATAGATGTGAGCTAACAGATACATTCTTGCCCTCTCACCATATGATGCCCTCCACCATGTTATGACACAGCAAAAAGGCCGTCATCAGATGCCAGCACCTTGCTATTAGACTTCCCAGCCTCCATAACTGTAAGAAATACATGTCTTTATAAATTACTTAGCCTGTGGTATTCTATTATAGCAACAGAAAGAAAGCTAGGACAGGTACTTTATGTATTTACTTCATTTAATCCCTACACCAAGCTGAAAGGTAAGTATTATTATTTCTCACTTTACAGATGGGAAAACAGAGGCTTCCGGGAGATAGGCAACATGCCCAAAGTCATCCAGCTAAAAATTAGCAAAAGTGGGTAACAAGTTGGTCCAACTCCAAGCTCCATGTTTTTCTCACTGACCTTGTGTCCTCCTTGCACAGAGCACAACCAAGACCCAGGCTGACCGGAATGTAGGGATTATTTTGAAAGTGTCTGGGACAATGTGGATAGAAAGGAAGAACAAGGGAAAGATGTTGGATTCCTGAGTGATGAACTGAGGTCCTTTCTTTTATCCTACAGCAGGTAACAAGTAGCCTTTAAAAGTTTTATAATGATAAAACTTGTTATTATAAAAATTAAGGCCAGGCTTCGTGGCTTATGCCTGTAATCCCAGCACTTTGGGAGGCTGAGGTGGACAGATCACCTGAGACCAGGAATTTGAGACCAGCCTGGCCAACATGGCAAAACCCTGTCTTTAAAAAAAATATAAAAATTAATCAGGCATGGTGGTGTGCACCTGTAATCCCAGCTACTCAGGAGGCTGAGGCATGAGAATCGCTTGAACCCAGGAAGCAGAGGTTGCGGTGAGCTGAGATTGCGCCAGCCTGGGCAACAGAGTGAGCCTCCGTCTCAAAAAAAAAAAAGTTATTAGATACTTTGAAAGTAATGTTAAAAGTGTTGCAAAAATTTTGGATAATAAAAAAATACCAGAACCACAGTTATTTAAATTTCTTTCATGTCTTTCTTTCCCCTGTATGTATTTTATATCATTGTAATCATACTCTACGTATATTTTTAAATTTTGCTTTATATTTAACATTATATCTTTTAAATATATTCCATATTATTTCATAGTTTTTATCTCCATTGCTTATAATGATCACATAATAGTTCATCTGGTATATATGTCATAATTTATTCTAAAACCCCTTTAATGGTAAACATTAGGTTCTTTCCAGTTTTGTGTTACTATAAATACTACTACAATTAACATCTTTATGCCTATAGGTTTCTCTAAAGAGTATTTCTTTAGGAAGTACTCTAGAAGTAGAATTACAGAGTGAAAGTATATGAGTATGCTTATGGTTCCTGATGCATATTGCCAAATGTTTTCCAAAAGGATTATGTCAATTTATATTATCTCCAATATAAGAGAGTGCCAAATGCTGGTGGATTGAGTGGAAAAATAAAATCAGTCTGTGGGCAAGTCACTTCTCTTCAGGCATTGGTTTCTTACTAAGTTAAATAAGGGTATGTAGTGCATCATCATTATGGTTTTCCAGTTCTGAGGTTGTATGATTCATCAGAATTCTGAACATTTGCTTATAGGTACTTGAGATTCTTCAATGAATTTTCATTCCTCTAAATTAGAATCCCTAGTAAAATCCCAGTTCTTTTGAGAATGGATAATGCCTAGCACATGTGCTGCTACTTCCTCTCCTGAATCAGTGGTACTGATGGCCCATTGGTCTTGGCTCACTTTCTGGCTCAGAATCACCTTCCACACAGGCCCAGGCAGCCCCTCGCTCACGGTCAGTGACACACCAGGGGAAACCCATCCATCATCCAGGCTCTCGACTGATCTTGTTCCGATTCCTCAGAGTCTAAGAAGGCCCAGATGTACAAACAGAAGAGTGGGAAGGAACAAGGAGCCATGGGATGTTGATGGCAGTGGCTGCTGCCATCATGCTGGCTGCAGCAATGAGGCATGGCTGGGGCTGCACACTCCGTGGAGCCAGTGGGAGCCTCGCCCCTTCTGAGTTGGGATGGGAGCTTCCTGGATGCTGCTGCAGCAAGGTGCCACTGCAGCCACCCAAACCACAGCTGCAGGTCCAGGCCTCCTGCTCTATGGAGCAGGAAGTAGCCCCACTCTCCTGGGTGGGGCTACAGCCACCCAAACTGTAGCTGTGGATCAGAGCCTCCCTGTGCTCTTGGTAGAGAGCAAGGAGCAGGCAGGATCTGCCTTCCCTAGGTGTGGCTGCTGCTGCCCTCCCAGGCACAGGAGCTGGGTGTCTCTGCAGCCTCAACCCTCGGGGGCCCCTCCCTGCCCCCATCCCTGCAGGCTCAGGGGTGTCTGCTCTCACTGCCTGGCCTCTCTCCACTCCAGGTGCCTACTCCCATCTTGGAGTGGGGTTGGGGCCAAGCCCCAGGGCCTTCAATGGCAGCAGGAGGCAGACAGAGTCCTGGGAGGAAGGGGGTGGGTCCCCAGTAAAGGCCCCACCTTCAGGCCAGGGAGGGCCTGAAGGCTGGGGACCAGACTACCAGTTCTGCTACTGGAGTGGGGACTCATGGTGCCTCTTCCAGGCCACCTATGGTCATCCATGGACTAATCAGCATGGACTTCCTCCCCTCTGAGGTCCATAAAAGTCCTGGGCTCAGCCAGAGCAGAGCAGAGGACTGCCAGAGGATTAAGAGGGCAGAGAGAAAATGGGACTAGACAACCAGCTGCAAAGAAGAGTACCCTCTCTGCTGATAGCTGGAGATGATGGGATGACCAGCTGCAGAAAGGAGTACCCTCTCCTCTGAGAGCCACAGAGATACCTGTGGGCAGAGAGGAGCTACCCTCTCTGCTGAGAGCTTCAGAGACCTGCAGAGACATCCAAATGACTTGCCTATGGAGAGGAGTCACCCTCTCCAAGGCCTCCTTTCTGCTGAGAGCTGAACACAATGGGATGACCTGCCTACAGAGAGAGGAGTTACCCACTCCTCTGAGCTGTTCTAACACTAAATAAAACTCTTCTTCACCCTTCACTTGTCTGCATACCTCATTCTTCCTGGACACCAGACAATAACTTGGGCAAAGACACCGTGGCTACAGAGATTTCTGGCCAGAAAATTTGACACCCCAAAGATCTCATAACAATGTGAGCACTCAGATTGTGCCTCGGTGACCCACTGCCATTCTAAGAAATTTGGAAATACTAACTACCCCACCGAATCCTCAGACACCCCTAATGGGTCGGTCAGTGATTATCCATTTCACAATGAGGAAATAGGCACGGAAGCTAGGGGCATGCCCACAGTCACATAACTGATGGGAAATGGCAGGGCTAGGATTCCAATCTAGGCAGTCTAGCCCTGAGACTCTGGACTGTCTGTCACCACCATGTCATACATGCGGGGAGGGAGGAGAAGCAGAGATGGTGGGAAGGGGAGACAACACTGCTGATCCTACCATTTTGCCACAAGAAGTTCCTACACTTAGTATTCATTTATTCTTCTAATCATTAATTCTATAATAACAAGGTGACTTTAAATATAAGGTTTTGGGTAGAAAGGACCCCTCAGAGCTATGAGGATAATAAAGGTAAAGCAAACATCACCTTCCCTACCTTCTGGGAATGTACAAGTTGGCAAGGGAAAGAAGAGAAGAAAATCACTACCGATAATACACAGTGGGCCGAGGTAAGCAGAGTGAGAGAGGAACAGATAAAGTGACCAGAGGAACCTGCCCTGTAACTGCAGCAGCCAAGGGAAGCTGGGTGGAGTGGAGAGTTATCACCTGCATCTTGGGTGACACTCAGAACAATGTGCATTCATAGAGGTGAGGATAAAGATGCCTACAGAGATAGGGTGAGGTGCACACAGGTAGGGAAGAAGAGTTTATGCAGAACAGCAAGTATGGCCTAAAGATAGGGTTATAAATGAGAGTAATGGAAAATACAGTTAGAAAGGCAACTGAAGCCTGGATTAGTCAATGTAACAATAGTTGAAACAAACAGAAAACCCAACTTTCCAATGGCTTAATACAATAAATGACTAGTTCTCCCTCACAAAACAGAACAACAAAGTTTTTCCTTGTCAGCAAAATGCTTGACTCCAAGATGTGTTCTGACACCCATACTCCTTCCACCTTGTCCCTCCTCTACCCAGAAGGGACTGACTTCTCAGTTTGCAAAGCGTGGAATGAGAAAGAGAGGGTAGGAAGTACACCCTTTCTCAACAACCTGGCTCTGCTTACATTTTATTTGCAACTCTAGATTCAGGTTTGGGTGGGAGCAGGGCAGTGGCCTGACTGGGCAGCCACTTCCAAGAAACATCTCTGTGCTGTGGGTGGAAAAGCACAAGTTATAGTTGATCCTCGTGGCCACAGGGCCTTGATCAGAGAAAGTTTTGATCTTCTTGGGCAAGGATAAGTAGGCAAGCTAGCCTAGAAGGGTTTTGAGCAAGGGAATTATGTCAACAGAGGCATTTCCTCCAGAAAAGTAAGTCTGGCAATAGAATGCTTTCAAAGAATGAAAGCAACATAGCGAGGGAGAAGAGTTAGGAGACTACTAAAATAATACAGGCAAATGGTGACCTGAATGAGGTCATCAAAGTGGGATGATGAGAAGGAAGAAAGCAAAGACATGGCAGATTCAAACCCAGAGAGAGCAGGACAATGGGTAAGACAGGCACCTGGGCAGGGAGGTCCCACAGAGATACTGTGTTGTGTTCCCCATACAAAAAGAGGATAGGGATTCCCAGTCCCCATGAGGTGATGCATATACAAGGAGAGCCCTTCTCCTGCTGCAGGATTGCAGAGATAGGAGCCTACACTTGCAAGAGACAGAGCGCACTGCAAAGACATCCAGCTCCATTTGGCTTGGATGGAGCCAAAAGAAAAACACCGGACCTATGAGTTCCCCGGGCAGATCTTTCCTGGATACACCCCAAAGACAGTGTCCATCCAGGCTACGTTGCATCTGGAGCAGAGAGCGTCTGGGACTCAAGAGTCTGCTGGTGGACCGAGGACGTGTACAGTTGCCAAATGTGGCCGAAGCTGCCACCGGAGATCTGTTTTCACAGGTTTTCTTTGGAAACTCAGTGTGGGGCTTGGGAGCAGCTGGGAGTTTGAGTAATTGCATACCCTGGGGGTGGAGGGAGGCCAAGTACAACAGCCTGTCCCAGGGACCTGAGTGAGGGCATTGCAGGAAGTCAGGTGAGGCCACCCTGAGGTCGGGGCTCCAGCCACTGAGGACAAAACTCAAATCTCAGCCCAGAAGCAGACACCACAGCTCTGATGACAGCAAGCTGGGCACCCCTGAGCCTTGCTCTCCGTCCCAGGGGTCATTTCCACACCGGGGAGGTTTGGGTACTTTATGTACATACTAGTGGGACACCCCTTTAAAGTATCAGAACTGAATAACTTGAAACTTAGACAAATGGATGATTATTTGCTCTGCAATGTGCTTTCCTTTAAGGCTCAGATCAAATATCAGCTTTGAAGCTTTCTTTGACCTTGTTCTTTTCCACACCCCAGGAAGATGGATTGTCCCCTCTTCTCTAACTCACAGCAATTCTACCACCAGTATAACATTTACCCATCTATGTGCAATCGCCAAATGTTTTTTTAAATACTTACTAGATGTAAGGAGCTGTGGATAAACACACTCCAATCCTTGCCATCCACTGCTCCCTCTCTCCTTCTTTGGACTGTGAGCCACCTCCCAGTGGAGAGCCTGCTCCCCACCTTTGAGCATCTGCTGAGCTCAGTAGTGTCCATTTCAAGTTGATATAATCAAATTGAATTCACAAAGTATTCTGCATTCTCCAGTGGAAATCATCAAGAGATGGCTCCAAATAGCAAACTCTTCTAGTACATTCGAAATCAAATGCTTGATTTGCCTGCCCAGAAAAAGGCCTTGGAATACCGGACTCCAATCAGCAGCCATTTGAAGTTAGCTATAAACTGCTTAAAGTTAGGTGGCACTACCTTATCATGTAATTACTTAAAGTAATGTTGCAGGGCAGTGTGAGAACTCCAGACTTGGGGGTGGCCCCAAGAATATATCTCTGCTACGAAGGAATGATTTGTTCTCAAACAAGATAAAAGGAGTCCTGTTGCCAAATAGCCCTGGGTTCCAGTTTAGCCTTGCTGACAGAAGCCATGTTGATTTAGCGTAAGTTACAGTCTCTAGATCTTGATTTTCTCACTTTCTCACCAGCTAAATGAACACTTGCCTTTCAGCTCAAAAGCTCGACTAAGCCCTGATTCTCAGATAATCTTCCTGGGTCTGATTTTTATAGTCTGATTTAACACTAAGTCTTTCCACAGTTTAGCTCCTCTGTGCTCCTCTTATTTTTTAATAGAGGAAATAAAAAGACAGCCTTTTGTACAAGACAGCCAAGATTCCCAGGTGGGCCCCTCTCAGAAGAAGCACATATGTCTGTCAAGATTCTGAAAAATGTATCCTCTTCAATTTCTGTGTTTTTCTTTAAAACAAAATATATAGAAACCACAAACGTATTTGTTTCATTCTCATCTGATGCCTTCATACTTGAAGGAAGTGTTGGATTTTCTTGTTCTTTGGCTCAAAAAGCAAGGAGTGACATCAGTAAGCTAAAACTGCAAGTTCCACTGCCCTTTCCCTATTAAACTTCAATGTTTACTTCTCAGGGGATTGGCCAAGAAAAGTCCATTTGGGCTGGAATGCAGCATATTTAGTCTCAGAATTAAGGTAATTTCTTTGGAAGAGTTTCAACCAAATCAATTTATTTCAGAGATGTTGGTGTTGGTTCCCTTTTAAAAATTCCAAAGCCCCAGGCTTTTTCTCTGTACCTGCTCTGCTAACGCAATTCCAAGCTGGCTCTTATGCAAAAAGCCACACACGCTAGGTGTATGGGAGTCAGTGTGCAGGCTTTGGGTGCACACCTATGAAAAGGCTGTGATTTTATAGGGAGAGGGCAGATGTGTAGCTGTGCAGGCTCTTGGGAGCCATGAAAACCCATGGACTTGAGGGATTCAAACAGCAACCATCCCTCATATCTATAAATTTCCTTAAAAAATAAAACACTTTATGCACACTTTGCTCCTTAAAACAATGTTTTAAAGCAGACAGAATAGGAATCATGACATCTGTTTTCATAAAAACATACAGGGGTTTGGTTGTATTAACTGCCTTGGTCACATCCTCCTGGCTGCTAAGAGGTAGATGAGAAATGAAGTCCTCTGGTGACTCCTGCTCCTTTCTGGAGCTATCCTTCCTATCAAATCAGTAAGAATGTGAGTAAGGAGCTGTTATGAAGTGGCTTCCCTTGAAGATGAGCCAATGAGAACACAATAGAAAGATGTCAAAGTATGATTTGGAGACCATTTAGAAAGCTCCTGTCTAAAATGTTTCTCCTACTTGCTTGTCAATGATGCCTAAAATTCTACCATTAAAAAGCCACTTTTTTTCAATAAAGAACTAGGAGTCATATTTTCATGTGTTTAAAGAGTTCCCAAAACAAGAGACATTAGGTGCTAATGGCATTGTCAAGAGCAAGGGAATTATGTCACCAGAGGCATTTCCTTCAGAAAAGTAAGTTCAATAAGCATTACCATATATTTTAACCAAGACAGTTGAGGTTCTTTTCCACTTTTTGCAATCTCCTCTGCAGTAAGTTTAATACACGAAGAAAGACAATACCCAAATTCTAGAGAACATTTAATTATGGTGACATGAGTGAACATTCTTCTTCCTGATAGGCATATTTTATCGTGTCAAGAAAGTAACTATCATCCCTATTTTACTAAAAGTTGCCAACGAAAGTCATTCCTCTTACACAAACTGGCACTTTTGCTGTCCCTAAAACAGCTGATAACCACCCCTCATTATGCCAAGTCTGTGCGCATTCTGGTTGCTGAATCAGTATCTTATCTCCCCCAGTTCCAGAGCTAGAAAGCCTCTGGATTTGCTTAGAGATTACCTATTCTTATTCTTTGTTCGATATATGAACAAGGAAATTATGAGAGCAGCCAAGACCACATAGTACACTTATGTCTGAATGCTAAAGCCCGCCTCCATCTGTCAAATGCTATTTTTCTGATGCCACTTCCATATATTGCATCAGCAACAATAAAAAATACAGCAACTCAAAGCTTCCTTTCAGTTCCTTATTCCCTTTTTTTGTACCAAAAACCTTACCCCTCACCTTTGCTGCATTATAAAAAACTATGAAGATTATACAACTGAAAACCATCCAGCTCTGTGTAGATGGATTTCTCAGGAAGGAAAAATAGTATCTGGCTCCAACTTTGCTTGTTTAAAGATCTAGTGATTTTCATTTGAATCCCAACTCTGCCACTAACTAATTGTTTCACATGTCAAGCCACTATTTCTGGGTCTCAGTTTTTTCACTAGCAAAATAAGAAATATCAACAATATTTCTATCGACCATTCCAATCCTGAAATTCTATTACTCAACAATCTTAGATTCTCTGGGTGGGTAAAAAGAAGAGAAGGCAGCAGGTGCAATCTCACACACACTCAGCAAAGTTCTTAGAGCCTACATCATGATGACTGGAAATCCTTGTCCCACGAATGAGGTGGGACACCCCACCTCATTACTATCAGGTTTGCCCACTACCTGACACTCACACTGAAGTGTGGATGACTGGCAGCTGATTATTTTCTGAAAGCCAAGTATGGGATGGAGTAGCTGATGAGAAGAAATGTGCACCACGTACCAGAAGGATGGGGGAGAGCAGAATAAGTTCCAAGAAGAGGAAGTGAGATATTCTAAAGGTGAGCTTTGCTATGGGGTGGCCTTGGCAGGTTAGAGGGCAAAGGCAAGCCTAAGTTTAACCTTTCAAAGCTGAAAATGAAACACCAGGGAGTCTGCTCTCCCTCCCTGTGCCAGAACAGCCTCCCCTTTAGAGTGCAATGCTGCCTGAGATCCATCAGTCTCTGAGGTCAGAGGTTAATGTCCCACCCTGACTCAGGTCACCTCTCAACCCTTTCCTCTGAAACTCCAGCTCTACATTTTTAAGATCCATATAATAAAACATGACCCTGAGGTCCACCCCATTAAAGGATAAAAACGGTAATCCAGATACATACAACGTTTCAGATACATGGAAGCTCCATTTGCCTCTGTTCTGAAACAGAATGCTGACAGATTTATGATAATTTGGATATTGTCTTTCTTCGTGTATTAAACTTACTGCAGAGGAGATTGCAAAAAGTGGAAAAGAACCTCAACTGTCTTGGTTAAAATATATAGTAATGCCTATTGAACTCAAAATAAGGAGAGACTTTTATTTCCTCCTATAACACATTCTTAGACAGACTAAAGAAATAGGTTATGGCCCTATTTAAAACTTGGCCAGTTAACCCATTTTGAATATCATCCTTGGCATAGTAGGTTATAGGTTACTTGAAGGAAAAGAGGTGAGTTGTTATTGATTATTGAATCCATCAAAATGTGCAGCAGTTTTGGGTATGCGGTGCATTGCCAATATTTATTATGGTTGATGAATGAACTTGAAAGTGGCCATTGGGGAGTGTGTGTTCTGGAATGAACATAGCACTGGATTAGAGGAGTAAGAATGGCTGGATTTTCCTCATTATCATGACACTGGCCTATTTCAGTGAACTCTCTGTGCCTTGGTTTCTTGTTGGTGTGACTAGGAAGTGTGGTAGATTGCTTGCAAAGATGACCAAAACAATTCCTTTTATCCTGCATGCCTTTTTGCAGTGTGATTTTGCCAATTTACTATTAAGAGGTGGAGTCTACTTCCCAACCCCTTGAATCTGGGAGGGGCTTGTAATTTGCTTTGTCCAATAGAATGTATCGAAGGTGACCTCTGTGACTTCTGAGACCAGAGGTGAGGAGGCCTTGCAGCTTTCCCCCTCGTAGAACACTGCCCTGAATGTGCCACATAAGGAAGCTTCCCTCATCTTCTAGAGGATGAGAGACCATACGGAGAAGAACAAGGACCTCCCAATGACAGCCAGCACCAACTTCCAGACATGTAAGTGAGGCCACATCGGACCTTGGAGACAACCTTGCACTCTAGCAGACATCAGTGATCTGAGTCACCCCAGGAAAGCAGAAGAGAGATAGCTCAGCCAGCCCACAGAATTCTGAGAAAGTATACATTATTTTGCTTGAAACAACTATGTTTTTATGTGTTTGATAAATGGCAAAGGCTAACTGAGCCAGGAAGTGCGACCAGATAACTTCTCAGGTACCTTCAGCTTTATGATTCCAAAATCTTTGTAGAGAACGAATCATAGTGGTAACAGAACAATGTCCCTGGAAGCATCTACGTTCTAAATCACTGATTTTGCAGAGGAAAAAAAACTGATTCACAGAGGAGAGGAGATCTTCCCAAGTTTGTCTCATAAAATGCTTGCTTGTGTAACATAGATTCTGATGGTAAGGAAAGCAAAGCTGAAGCAAAGCCTAGCCCACTGCCCATACCTTCATGAAGGATCCACACACATTTAAGGCTGTGCTTCTGCACTGTGTCACAGAGTGAAGAGCCCTCCTTTCTGAAGAGCAGCAAGTCCGTCATGGAGAAGGCCCCAGGAAACAGCCCACACCACTAGACCATCATTCCCTTCAGAAGACCCTGCATCATTTTATTCTTGTCTTGGGACCAAATTTCAAATGTGATTAAAGAGTTCAGCTTAAATTTGGAGAGCCTCGGGCTTTCTAACACGCATTCCTAATATTCATTTTTATTTCTAACAACGAGTTTATCCTCTCTCCACCATACATCTTTTCTACCTGTCTCAGAAATGATCACTATAGCCTGTGTGTGGGCTTTCTGCTGCTTTTATCTGCATCTCTGAAACTGCTCATGAAAATTCTTCTCCCTGAAGTGTGAGCCATTACTAACATGCGGCACAGTCTGGCATTGATTTAGGGCCAACCTGGGAATTTCAGGGTTGGGCTTGGATCTATCTGAAAGGAGTTAAATGTCTGGGGCAGGGGTGGAGTGCTGTTCCAACAAAATGGCAAAAGTAAACTTCAAGATGAGTGTCAGTAGAGAGAATTAGAAAAGACAATTAAATAAATACCTGGATGGAAATTCTGAGTCTGGTGCCATCAGCAGAGCACACAACACCCATTTTACACACATTCTAAAGACAATTTCAATAAGCCATCTGAGAAGATGAATCAAATCAATTCCAAATCTTAAGAACAGATTGGTTGCGATGTGGCTTCTTGCAAATGGACCACTAAATCGACTTTTAAAAATCCAACAGTTTCTCCTGTCATCACCAAGTGAAGAAGTGGAGAAAAAAAAATCAGTTAGCCAAAGGAATGACATTCAGATGTTGAAAGGGTGAAACCTGAGGAACACCACCAAACCTTTGCTAAAAAACAACAAGAAGCTAGTGTTGAAAATGAAGACACAAAGGAAAGCGTCTCCAAGACTCAACACATGGTCTGTGCCCACACTTGCTGACTGGCATCGATGATTTGCCTAAGAAAACATAGTAGCTGTATTCCCTCTAACCCTTTCTCACCTATGGTTCTAACTCCAAGAGACAAGGGTGAAATTGGAGGGGAAATGATGGCCTGGACCTTCCTGGCATGTCTGGAACCCGCAATCATCTAAACCTCTAGTTTTTTCTAACCCATCTCTTAACATACTGTTGACACTCCCAGCACTGGAGACAGATTTACTGGTCCAGGGGATCCTGCACACACCAAAGTTGATACAACTGGTGAGAGTAAATATCAGCATCCTCAATGGCTCCAAGCATATAGCTTTCATAGCTAAGAGGATTTAGTCCCAGGATAGATTATGTGACAATAACAAAGGTCAGAATTATGGGGAAGACACCAGAATAAGAATGAGACTTGGAGATCAGCCCAGCTCCACTAATAACTGCCTGGGGAACCATGAGCATTATTTAACTACTCTGGCCTCAGTTTCCTGTCCCTGAAACAAGATGGTTAAACTAGATAAACTCTCCAAAGTCCCTTACAGATCTACTGAAAGTGGAAAACCCTCTTTTGCTCTGCAACCTCCTTTGCTGCAAACCTCCTTTGCTCTGCTATGTATCAGCTGTGGGATCTTAACCAGGTTGATTAACTCCAAGCCCTCAATTCCCCATCAGCAAAATCATGGAGTTGTGAGAACAGAAAGCATTAAAATATGCTAAGGGTTTAGAACGTATCTGTAATGTATAAAATAAGTATATGTTAGCAAAAATGAGTAAGTTAAAACTATTGTTCAAGTAACTCAGAAGAAAAGAAATAATAAACTAATCCTCTGATGTCATGGATGCATTTGAGGTTGTAATAGGAACCTACCTTACTTTCCCAATTTCCGCATAATATGCCTCTTCTTCTTTCTTCAAAGAGCTTTGTCACATTTATAGGATATTGTTATTATACATTAGCTTTTCCCTATTAATCTCTATCAAAGAATTATCATAAAAAATTAGTGCAAATATTTTAACTTAATTTATTAAGAAAAAATGTGTTGTCTGTTTTTTTTATCAATAGTGTCTATTAACCTTTAAATAAGTTTTACATGAAATTTAAAGTCATGGCCATGAAAGATGTATGAAAACACATGGACACCTACTTCTTAATGTTTATTTTCTTACAACGAGAAAGAGTGAAAGTGAGAAGTCATTTAGAAATTAACATCTCTTAACAGTGAAGAAACATTTGCCAGAAGCTGAGTAATTTCTTCAATTTCTTTTTATCCTGCTAACTTCAAATAAAACTAAAATTCTCTAATGTTAAATAGTCCTTGGGTAGTAGTATTAGGGTGAGGGTTTTTTATTTCTTTTTTTATACTATTTTGTAGTCTCCAAATATTCTAACATAAACTTCGATTACTTTTATAATAATAAAAAAGGAATGTTATTTTTAAAGTATACATTGGTCCAGCATTCAGCCAGACCTATGTACCATTTGCTTCATCCATCACACTGAAGACATCTCTTCAGGGGCCAGGAAAACTGCCAATATAGAAGGTAAGTTCCCTTCCCTGGGGACCTCACAGCTTACAAAAGAGAGAAGATACACAGATAAAATGAACTGAGATACATTTAATACCAGACAGAATTTTCAGAATAAATAAACTTAGAACAAGGGAAGGACCAAGGATTTGGGGGCTTCTTTGTCATTGCATCACCTCTAGCTTACATTCATTAATTTTACAACATGATCTGAGAGTCAACCACCTGCCAGGCACTGGTGTAGACTGTAGGAGTGCAATGGTGAATAAGATGCCCTTCCTTCCCTCAGCAAAGTCACAGGATAGTAGCAGACGCAGACACATAAAAAGATAATTAAAAGTTACTTAGGTTTTGTAGTGCTTTTTCATAACAATATTCATTCATTCAACAAAAATGTATCGAGCAGTTTTTCTGTATTCAGACACACAGAGAGGAATAAATAAGAATTGAACCGTGTCCCCAATGAAGATTCTGTGAGAATTGCTATACAGTCTCCAGTGAGATTGGCAGAGTGGATATCATCAACCACATTCTACAGAAAACTGGAATTTGAGCTAATGTGCCCAAAGTCACACAACTACTAGGGGCAAATTAGGACTAGAACCCAGGCCTCCTGATGCCTTTTCCTTTTTGGCCTTTCACTCTGCATTTTCGGTTTTCACAGGAATGGAAATCTACTCTTATCATCATAGCAGACGTGAATCTTCTTTTATGAATGAATGAGAATAAAAAAATCAAGCACGCTAAGGAAACCAAAAAAGGTTTATGTGCAGCTGTTCACTATTTCATTCATCCTCCCAGCCATTCCCCTCACAGACATTTCCTGATGCCACCTGGCTGAACTGCAATGTGCCCCGCCCATCCAGAGACGTTTGTGTTCCCACATCAGCAGCGTTTCCTGCCTTCAAAGATCATCAGCCACCAAAGTCTGAAAAACTAACATGATTTGTTTACATGAAGGAAAGATGCTCAAAGGTCTGAGTCGAGACCCGCAGAATTAAGCTCACTACATTTTCAAGCTTGAACTGTGGTTTCCGTGCTGAAAGTTTCAAACTGTCCTGGCTGGGAGAGCAAATCTACACTACCACCCACCTCAGGGAAGCCACCCTGTGGAGGTGGCTTTGGATTCGGGGTATGAGGCCTGCTGCTTCCTTCTAGAGGTGGGTTACAAGAGAAGGCTGGGATGGAAGTCCTGTGGCACTCTCTCCCATCTGTTCTGCAGCTGCCCTCACTAAGGTGGAAGGTGCTAGAAGTCCTTGCCCAAGTCACTCTGAGAGACAGGCTGTTTCCAGGAAGCACAAGTGCTTGCATTCTGGGCATGCAGGCAGGTTTACCTGTGCTGGACATCAAATTTATTTCTGCTGTTTGCTTCTCATGTTTCAGATCTTCCAAGTCCATTTTTAAGTTGCAGGTAGTTGTGTGAGAAAAGTGTCAGGCTGAGCCCCAAAGCCAGAGTTTACAACCACTAACTCAGGTCCTCTGGGCCAAGTCCACCCTGTCTCCGAGCCACTTCCTCATGTGTACATGACCAAAAATTTTAGAAAACTAACTTTTGTGAGTGCTAAGGAATGGGCCATGCACCCTACTTAGCACATCATGAGATCACCTCAACCCTCACATCCCATCAGGGGGATACTATTATTATCCTCATTTTCGAGTTCAGAAAACTGAAGGACAGAGAGAAACATGCCAAGGATTAAACAGGTAGTTAGATAAGAAAATAGGGTCACCACCCAGGACCCCTGGACTCCAGAACCTGAGCTTGCCTCTAAGCTGTCAGAGTGAAACTGTAATGTGATTGCAGCCGTCCTTGTCTTGTTCCTGATTTTATTAAGAATACTTCCTCTCTTTCTCTGCTAAGAAAGATGTTAGATATTGGTGATATATGAATCTTTTAAAACATTCTTTAAAGGGCCCTTCTAATTAATTTTAATGTTATTTGCTTTGACTTGGAAGGAACCTATTATTCCATGCTGTGAGTATTTTAATAATCACTTCAAATTTATCAAATAAAGCCAAAACAAGAATATCTAAAAGCCCCAGTGCCAGATCTGTAGTGCTCCCCAAATTCCCTTAATCAGCAAAATCACCTGGGGTGCTTATGAAAAAAACCACCCCACTTCTTTCTTGGGAATTCTGGTTCAGTAGCTTGGTGTAAGGCCCAAGAACCTGTATTTTAAATACAACTTCCAAGTGATTTCAAGGAGGAAGACATATGTGCCCAAGTCAAGAGAAGGAAAACTATGTTCCAGTGGTTTTATAAATTAAATTTTGAAGAATATTTGAAAATTTTTATAAACCAAATGAACTATAATTTTTATCTTTCTTGTCCTCATTTTTAAAGAGTTTTATCAGGAATAAGTGTTTAATGAATAGTTGTTTGCACCTATATTGATATAATAATAAGTACTAAATATGTACTAGATATTGTGCTGAGAACATTATATCTATTATCTCACTTTGTCTTCATAAGAATTCTATAAAATAGAAATGTTCACTATCAGTTATGCTAGATTCATAAAATAAATTGGGTATGTTTACTTATTTTTCCATATTCTGAAACCATTTATGCAGCATTATAATTAGTTTATATTTGCCAGTTAAAAAGAACTCACTAGCAAAACTAGACCTTCTTGAAAGGATGTTTTAACAAGTTTTAAAACTTATTTCCTTTGGAGTGGGGGGGCGTGGTACAGCCAAAACACCAACACTTCACCACCACATGGAAAATGTGTTTTCTATGAACATAAATAATTTAACATATTTTAAGATTGCCATTAAAAACCTTTAAGGTAACCTCTTATAAAATTAATCATGGCATACCTACTTTTCAAACACCTACAAAAGAAAATAACCAATAAATATTCCCATACAAATTATAAAATTTACCAAATAAAGCCAAAACAATAAGATCTAAAAAACCAATAAGAGAAATCATTAAACAAATAAATTGAAGGGGATCAAATGTTATATTAGTCAACATAAATAGGTTAAACCCTCTTAGTAAAAAGAAACCGAAAATCATCTCAGATAAAGTTTAAAAATACAACAATGATATATTACCTATAAGTGAAACTTAAAGTAAATGACATAGAAACATTAAAAGCCAAAAGATTTACTTAGGACATATGAGTCCTAAGTAAAAAGATTTACGTAGGACATAAATGCAAATAAAATCAGAGCAGGAATAGGACTAAAACATTAAATGTTACCCATACTTCTCATATTGATCATTAAGAATTAATAATAGTGTAAGTCATAATAATTTCGTAAGTCATAATAATTTCATATTTAAATCATATTTTCAAAAGCTGTTTTAATTGTAAAAGAATACACAAATGAAAATAGAGTGAAAAAATCTAATAAGGTACTCACAATCTATGATAATCACAAGCAATGTTATAAAAGACTTGACCCATGTAATTAATAAGGTTCTAAGAGTTAAATGAGAAAGACAGAAAGAGAGACTAACTTAGCATTCCACTGAGAATATATGCCTATGCAGTATTTCAAATTTTTATTTACTGTTAGGCAACAAATAAATTTTTAATAAATTCAAAATGCATAAATTCTATAGCCACATTATCTGACCACAGTAAAAATAAAAATAGAAATTACAATAGTATTCCCAAGTTGTTAGAGTTAGGAAGGAAAACTAGAGGAAGTTAAAAAGAAAATGTCCCTGAAAGAACCTCAGGGCCAATGAAGACACTGATGTGATCATTGCAAAGGCAATGAAACTAGGGGGATTAATGTTGAAATGTAAAGGACAAAGCCAACGTATTATTCAAAGGGAAATTCTTAGCCATAAATGTTGTTCTAGTTGAGATATCAGTAAAACCAACTTTACTCACCATATGGTATCTCTGTCTCTGCTGGATTTAACTCTTTGGCATCAAGACAAATTCTTCATAATATGCAGATCTTTGCTTGGTGCTACATGTTTCAGGAGTAAACTCCAGATCTCACTAGTGCAACTTGGGGAACCAAGTTGGGGACCAATTCTACATTTTCACAGAAGAGCAATTGGAATCATGAGCACTGAATGTCCCTACAGCCTGATTTCACTTCCAGTACCCACTCCTCCAAGTCAATAGCCCACTCATGTCCCTCCATATAATTCACTACACACTGCTTTTTCTTAAACAGGATGCTCCATGTAGACTTTTTTCAGTCCAAATCCTATTAATAGATTTCAAAAATTCTTTGATGTCACAAAGTGTGATTGGCATAAATCTCTGGTTTCCAGAGCTGATACAGTTTTTTTTCTAAATGTATATATTCCATTAGCCAATTCAATAGAAATGGAGGGCTCAAATACCTTACCATCTTGTCTGGAGGAACTTATTTGCAGTACTCTATAAAACTCAGAAGAAAAGGATTTTTAAGTAAAGTAAAACAGATTCTATGATGACTGCTTGCTGCAGACAGAGAAAAGGTGAAGGCTGAACCTAAGCATAGTCCCCAGGAAGGTAGGTGCCTCTGAGCAATATAGATGATTTAAGGAGGCTTTACAAAGTAATGATCAGAAACACATATTCTAAAATTACACAGAGCTTAGGCAAATTATTTTAAGGCTTAACATCCTCTTCTGCAAAATCAGAGAAGTATATATATCCAGGGTTTATTATAAAACTTAAATAAGAAAATGTATGCAAAGGACATAGCACGGGAGTGCCACATAAATTTTCAATAAATGTTAATTATGAATATTATTATTGTTATCATTACTATTGGTATTTTTGAGTGACACTAAAGCTGACATGAAGAAAGCTGCTTATGGTTAATGAAGACATTCCAGATCCAAATGTTTGATGCTAAACAGAACGTGGCTAATTCAAATTGATTTGCACATGATAGACTTGGAAAAGCAATATCAGTTTTATATCATTGCAGCTTCATGAATGTTAAATTGAGCTGATGACACCCGTCTTGGGCCTCTTAGAATTAGGAGCCAGGTTTTATTCCCCTTTCCTATGCTTCCCCAGATTTAGAGTCCCAGCACTAGCCTGGTATCTCATTGGTGACCCTGTCATCTTCCTTTCCAAGGTTAAGTTTAGGAGACTGGTGAGGATAATCTAACACCCTGCTCCTTGGAGCCCTCCGTCACCATTATGTTTGCCTGTTGTGACTGTCAACATATTGTAAAGCTAAATTTCCAGAGGCAGAAGAGCCATATCCATAAACAGCCACATCTCTGGGACTCGCCAGGCCTCTAGGTCCAAGATCCTATGCATTTCCTTTCCTTTCTATGAGAATATCACATTCTCCCTGTCCACCTCTAACTAATTCCATGAATTAGAAGTGCATTTGGAGAATCTCAATAGAGCCCTTTGGGAACACTGAAGAAAAACCGGGGCTTTAAAAAAGCAGGGATGGGACTGGCTGCTGAAAAATCATCAGAAAGAGCACTACGATATTAGAGATGACTGTGAGGAAAGTAGAGGCAACTACTGAGGCGGAGAAGCAGGCTCTGCACTCCACCCTGGCCAGAGGCTGAGCAGATGCCCTTGAACAGGGACTCTGAGAAACAGCTAAAATCAATCAGATGCACCCAAGTTGGGAAAGCGCGGTAGTTTGAAAAGCAGCTGAAGTGTCGAATAACTGAGCTCTCCAAAACAAATTATCCCACTTCAGTTCCATTGGCCAGCAGTTTATAAATAATACTGTATACAAATTTTAATGAAGTAGATACAGTTGCTTTCCTTTTCATTTCTCCTTCACTGGAACAGCTGAAAGAATCCCAGCAAAACATCCTTGCCCAGCAACTGTGCTAGAAATTAATATTGGACATTGAAAGAGCGTCATAACTTCAGTGGGGACACTGATTTGAAAAGTGTGGTGAGGATGGCTAAGAGATATGTAATAGCCTAAAGATCAGGTGGTCATGTATCCATTCATCCAGGAACATTTGCTGAGTGACTACTGTATGTCAGACACTGGGGGCAAGGAGGGGAGAAGACCTAAGGGAGGAACTCTCAGATGGATTCTAGGAGGGGAGGCTGAGATTGACACAGAACAAACAGCAGTGCTGGGTAAATGAGAGAGGAACTAGCAGTGCTTTGGGGGAACATGTAAGGAGCTGGGCTTTGAAAAACAAACAAGGCTTAGATTTAGGAGAGAGAAGGAAAGGCTAATAATGATGGAGCATCCAGGCTTAGGAGAGCCCTGGGAGTGGGAAACAATAAAGGGTTAATGTACCAATTTGTGGGTAAGTTGGGACCAAAACCTAGGTTTCCTAAATTGCACTCAGTCTCATTTCACCATTCCAGATGCTGCTGGTTGATGATTTTCAAACTTGACTACCCATTAGAATTACCTGAAGAATTTTAAAAGCATACTGGTGTCTTGGTCCCATCCCCAGAGACTCAACTGAGTTGGGTTGGGATGTGGCCCTGAGCATCAGGATATCTACCAGCTACCAACGAACTCCTTATTTCAGCCAAAGATGAGACTGTCTGCTCTAAGTGACCCTTGCTGTTCCAGGTACCAACAGAAAACAAGTCCTGAACAAGTTCAACATGTGACAAGTGTTTCTAGGAAACGGAAAGACAGTGCAGAGCTGTCTCCCACACTGGAGAGGCTGGTGGTTCAGAGTATGCACTCAGCCTATCTTGGTTTCACTCTCATTCCCTGAGATCTTATTCCCACTACTTAGTGACTTGAGCAAGTACATAACCTCTCTAAGCTTCAGCTTCCTCATAGTAATTATCGGATTGCTACGGATAACCACATGGAAAGATCTTTGACAGTGGATTTTAACCTCTTTTGGGTCACATATCTCTCTGATAATATAAAAGCTTTGGATCCTCTCCTCAGAAGAATGCACATGCCCATATATAAACTTGAACCTGGTTTCTGCAAAAACTGTCTGTGGATCAGGGTTAGGAATGCTTCCTTCAAAAGAGTCTGATATAGTTTTGCTGTATCCCCACCCAAATCTCATCTTGAATTTAACTCCCACAGTTCCCACAGGTCATGGGAGGGACCCAGTGGGAGATGATTGAATCATGGGGATGGGTTTTTCCTATCCTGTTCTTGTGATAGTGAATAAGTCTCATGAGATCTGATGGTTTTATAAAGAAGAGTTCCCCTGCATAAGCTCTCTATCTTTGCCTTCCACCAACCATGTAAGATGTGACTTGCTCCTCCTTGCCTCCCACCATGATTGTGAGGCCTCCCCAGCCATGTGGAACTGTGAGTCCATTAAACCTCTTTCCTTTATAAATTACCCAGTCTTGGGTATGTCTTCTTTTTTTTTTTCAAGACAATGACTCTGTTTTGTTTTTACATTTACTTTTAAGATTTTCTCACATATATTTCTTAACAAGAACATAAACATTGTTTCAATTTTTTAATATTTTCCTTACATACAAAATATTGTGTTTAATTATTCTTAGAATACTATGCAGCCATAAAAATGATGAGTTCCTGTCCTTTGCAGGGACATGGATGAAGCTGGAAACCATCATTCTCAGCAAACTAACACAGGAACAAAAAACCAAACACCACATGTTCTCACTCATAAGTGGGAATTGAACAATGAGAACACATGGACACAGGGAAGGAAACATCACACACTGGGGCCTGTCAGGGGGTGGGGGGCTATGGAAGGGAGAGCATTAGAAGAAATATCTAATGTAGATGACGGGTTGATGGGTGCAGCAAACCACCATGGCACGTGTATACCTATGTAACAAATCTGAACATTCTGCACATGTATCCCAGAACTTAAAGTATAATAATGTTAAAAAAAAGAAATATTGACTTGGCCTTAGGAAATTTTTAGTTTAAAAAATTCGGGTTAATCGGGTATGTCTTTATTAGCAGCATGAGAACAGACTAATACAAGGTCTGACATGCTCACATTACCTTGGCTTCAGAAATGCTACTCTTGTTAACGCTTGATTCATACCCAAGCTCTCCTCAGCCTCTCCAACTCTCTTCAGATTTCCTTTGGATGCCACTTTAATTATGGGGTAATGGGGACAAAACTGGTTAGAAGCTCCTAGTTTCAAACAGGCAGTATAATATATACGTAAACAGAGCAAGGGGAAAGTGGAGACGAATGCATTGAAAAGAGAATGAGAACCAGATGCCTCCATTCGGGGAAGAGTGGAGGCAAAGACAGCTGCCCGAGGGGACTGCTCTGTGGG
This sequence comes from Homo sapiens, assembly GCF_000001405.40. Classification (NCBI taxonomy): domain Eukaryota; kingdom Metazoa; phylum Chordata; class Mammalia; order Primates; family Hominidae; genus Homo; species Homo sapiens. The sequence continues at coordinate 19,567,064 of NC_000002.12, forward strand.
TTCACCTCTAATCAAGGCTCATGAGGAACAAAACTAGAGAGAGGCGAGACAGGGAATCGCAGCCTCGCAAAGCCTGGGAGTGGGAAGGTAGAGGTGAGGGAGAGCTGAGGTTAAAAAAAAGAAAAAGAAAGAAAAGAAAGGTAGGCAGTCTTTTCAGAAGCCTTAAAAGAAAGGAAAACCCCAGGGAATAGGCAGAACATGTCCACCAATAGGTATCACAGATTTCCTAGCAGAACATCAGGTACTGTGGGTCAACTAAGCAGGAAAGGATCCTCCCTGAGGAGTCATCTAATAAACCTGTTATGTGTCCATAAAGGCAGGGGCACTAATTCAAAAAGAGGTTTTATGAATTTTTCCGAGGTGATGGCAAGGTAACTATTTTTCCTCCTGGTACCCAGGGCTCCCCACTGAATCCCAGTCTGGGCTCACTTTCTTGGGGTCCTCAACTACATCCCACTCTTGCTGTCCCCAAGCCCACCTCCCAAGCTCTTGCTCATACTATTCACCCTACAGGTAAGCAGTCCTTTTTCCTTTTTTTTTTTTTCTCCTTTAAGTTGGCTTCCGAGTGTTCCTTAAAATTTAGTTTCACCACCTCTTGGGAAGTCTTTCCAGCCTCTTTACATGCACTTCTTGGCACACAACAGTTTCTCTGTCCTCTGAACTCTTACATTGACTTGACTTTAAGATGTCTTTCGTACTATTCCTACACTGCTTTGTCTTGTAAATATAATAAAAGGGGGTCATCCACCACAACTGAGTTTTATAGGAGGAAAGTTATGTCGAACTGAAGTCTCTTTGGCTCTGTTGAACAGTGTTGGATACGTATATTGGGGAGGAGGCCATAAACCAAATTGAGCTACCCCACATTAGTGTTTACAAAGGTGTGGGCTACAGACACCAGCGTAAGAATCACCTTAATCACTTACCAAAAATACTGATCTGTCTTCGTATAAGGAAGCAGAAGTCCAGAAAGCAGAGAATAGGCCATGAATTTATTTTTTTAAATGTTCATGGGAGTTCATAGAAAAGTGGGAGAAGTATTTGGGCTTCCACAAGCTAGACTTCCCAAAATGGGAGTGGGGGTTTATATCAAGTCTAGATCTCAAGGAGCACAAATGTCCCAACTGACCTCTAGATGCACACTGCATTTCCCTCACTGGAAGGGAAGCCTATAGGAGTCTATAATTTTATAAACCACACAACGAGCCCAGAGCTTTATGCCCTACTCTTAGAGCATGCCAGACATAAACGTGAAAGTCAAAGCCATGGCAATTGACAAACTGCTCAAGGAAAGCATAAAATAATAGAGAATTTGGTTTAAACACATGTCATGCAGAATATCAAGCTCTTGGAAAAGAAAAGAAATAAAACTATTCCGAAGCTATTGACTCAGTCTTGGAAATTAATATCACAGCATTAAAAAGTTATCCATTGAATATCAACCTTAAAATTTGTCCCTTGAATATCGGCTTATGTATGTGTGCACATATGTATACTATATATGCATATATGCACACACATGCGCACACACACACACACACAATAAGCTCTGGGGAGTTGATATATAAATAAAAGTGACCTACTAGAGTATCTCAAAAATTATTTCCTATAAATTTATACATTCCCCTCTTTTTGTAAGCAGTATAATTTGGAAATACCTACCCATCCTTAAACTTAGAGGTTAAGAATTTACTATAGAATACTTAGACTTTACCAAATGTCTCAAACTGCCATCTAATATACGTATGTTCTCAGATCACAACAAACTCCAGTCTGATGTTATAAGTTCTGGGCTACATTCTAGATGTAGCAGAAGGTCAGCCCTGGCCAATTCCAGCATTTCTTGATCAGGATCCATCTTTTGATCAAGGGCCATTGAGGGTTGACATGTTGGAGAGCTGAGCTTTCCACTGGTCAGTGCTGGGCAGTGATGGTTTCAAACTCCACGTACTACTCTAGCTGTTCAGTGCGTAGTGCAGGAGGGTTCCTGGCATGACCAGATGAGCAAAGTTCAAAGTAAAAAAAACCCTTGAAGTTCCATCATACCCTCTATATCACCTACAATCTGAACGGATATAGCTAAACCAGTGGCTGAAGTCTCTGGCGCTATTTGCGTATCAGCCACATCTTCATCTGTTGTGTCACAGATTGGTTTGGCTGTCATATTTGAACTCCAGTCTTTTTAATTTAGAAAAAAATGCAAGACGACTGAATTTTGTCATTACAGTTCTTAAAACTACCTAAAGGAAATGAAATCGACACAAAAGAGGTAGTCACAGTTCCTTAAACCTTGCTTCAAAGTAATATCCACTTATTTACATACAATTCAACATTCTCAGTTTATCTTTATTGTCAGTCAAACGCCTATTCTAAACAGAGCTTTTGAGTCATTGAGTAAACAGGATTCTGTAGCTGGAAAGTTCACTCTACAGCTCTTCCAAGAGAGGACTTCTTACCACTTAGAGCTTCTTTTGAGGCAACAGCCAGTCTGTCTCCAAGCTCTTCACTGAGGAACTGGAGTATCCACTCCAGAGTCCCTGTGATTCTCTCCTGGGAGACCTTACAGTGACCCAATTTGTGGCTCTCTGGCCAGGATAGCCTTTTCATGAGTATTCAGTCATCTGTTACTGCGGTGCTGCTCATTTGTTCCACTGGATATCCCTTGCTCTGAGACATTCCAAGCATGCCAGCTCCCAGTTGCAGAAGTTACAGGGATAACAAAACAATAACAAAAACAATTACACAAGGTGTTAAGTGCTACAACAGATGAACATATGACATACTATAGTTTTCATTTTGCCTGAGCAAAAATGGTAAAGTCAGGCTGGGTGTTAAAGGATGGATAATGAGGGGCCATTTAAAGCTGAACAGGCTGCATTGCAAAGGATTAGAGGCACAGCAGAGCAGAAACCCAGGGAGGAAGACGAGCCACGGTGCAAACAGCCATTGGGGGTCAATGTCATAGGCCACTTCCTCCCTTATGCTGGATGACGGACATTTATTTTACCTGGAATGAGGACTCTGCATGTCCCCTGAGGCAGAGAAGAAACAAACATTTTTGTTGTTGTTTGAGACAGAGTCTCACTCGGTCGCCAGGGTGGAATACAGTGGCGCAATCTTGGCTCACTGCAACCTCCGCCTCTCAGGTTCAAGCAATCCTCCTGCCTCAGCCTCCCAAGTAGCTGGGACTACAGTTGTGCACCACCACACCCAGCTGATTTTTTTGTATTTTTAGTAGAGACAGGGTTTCGCCATGTTAGCCAGGATGGTCTCAATCACTTGACATCGTGACTCGCCCGCCTCGGCCTCCCAAAGTACTGGAATTACAGGCTTAAGCCACCATGCCCAGTCTAAACTTTTGTTAAACAAGTAAAATATTGCCAAATGCGGCACCAAACTTTTCAAAACAATAAGTCTGAGAGGCAAGAATCACGATCCTCATGTCACTGATGAGGAAACTGAGACGTGAAGAGGTTAAATAACTCCCACAGGGGAAATCGTAGATGGTAACGAATCCAGATGGAAGCCATCTCAGCCCTGGTGCTGTGTTCTTTCCATTGTGCCACACTGCTCTCCTGGCTTCTCCGAGCAGGTTGCCAGTAACCACCCCATCTGTATGCTAGAAAACAAGGCTGAGGAATTCAAGAGAGGGATCAGGCTTGGAGGCACTTCTTTGGTATCCCCTGAAGGAGCAAGCATCCATAGAAGACTCCACTGTTGTTATAATCTCACAGCAGTGTCTTAGGACTTCAAGGTGTCAGGGCCAACCAGAAGCCAGCTCTAAACAGGTTCAACGGCAGCCCTGGAAAGTGGTGGGAAGATTCCTACCACCTCTCTAAGGTGGATGGAGATAAAGCCAGGGAAGAGATTCAGCTAGGGAGACCAGCTGTTCTGGTTTGCCCCACAACACTGAAGAGTTTCCCAGGGAAGCAGGACAGTCAAAGGAGCAGCTTCTTCTTCTTCTTTTTTTTTTTTTTTTTTTTTTTTTGAGACAGTCTCACTTTGTTGCCCCGGCTTGAATACAGTGGTGCAATCTCAGCTCACTGCAACCTCTGCCTCTGGAGTTCAAGCGATTCTCCTGCCTCAGCCTAGGGGAGCAGCTTCTTTCTAGCAATGAGTCCAGGTGACTGTAGGAACCAGAGGCCAAGGGCTGGTGGGAGATCCGGTCCCAGCATTGGCTGATTCGAGGCAGTGGAAGCCGAGGTTTGGGGCAATTCCTAGGACAGCATTTTAGGGCACTACAACCTCTTCCTTTGAAGAGGCCCTGATTCTGACTTTCCCAAAGCCAAACTAGGGCCCTTGAAAGAGTTGAGGAGGCTTCCAGGGAAGCTTTTGAGTTCCCAGAGAGCACAGCAGGCACCACACACTGCAGACCCTTCATCCTACTCAGGGAATGTAGGCTGAGCTGAGTGAGACTCAAAGAGGACTGCTCTCTCCAGCTCCCATCAACCCCTTGTTTTATAAAACTTTTCCTCAAAGACCAAGTCCCTCGTGTCACTCTTTTTCAAATGCCCATGACAGCAAGCCTGACCTCCTCCGGCTGGCACTCCGCAAGTGCACCCCTCCTACAAACCTTCCCTGTACCACCTCCCAGGATGCCCTGCCTCTCTTCTGCTTCAGCTGCCTGAACCCGTCATCCTCACTACCTGCCCATCATTTGCTGGGCTTTTTTCCTTGCCACTATGCTCTCCCCACTCCCCCAAAAGGAACCTGTAATACAAAACAAGTTTGGTTCAATGTGATGCTCAACAAATACTTTAGTTCAGGGGAGCTTCTCATTATGTCTGGTTAGTTTGCTAAGGAAATGGGTCCCTGTTCATCTGTCCCCCCACCATGTGATGAAAGCAGCTCACTGCTGTTAAAACCCCATGGCTCCCTGAACCCCAGGGACGCCTTTCGATTCTGGCCCATGTCCAGGTCTCCCCTTTTATTCCTCTTTCTCCTCATCCCTGACTTCTCCCCTAGTCCTGAGAAGGAGACCTGTCATTAGGCAGGACCCACGAGGAGCTGGTTCTGCAAACAGAGTCTAGTCTCTTCTTTCTGTGCGCTGTCATATCTTCCTAAGGCTGCTGCTATAGAAGGAGCCCCTATCTAGAAGGTGGGAGGGAAGGAGAATGGGTAGGGGAAAGATGCAGGAGCAGTGACTTGGATCTTGTGCTTTCCTGAGTTTCTCGCCAGTTGAGCAGCATTTAGCAGTTGGAAAGGACATCCTATGTCCTGTCTACTGAAGTCCTGTGCCTCTGTCCCTCGCTCTCTACCCAGCACTCCGTAGCTATGGCACATGGGGGTACTGTCTCCTCTCTATTAAGTGTAATCTGGGAAAGGGAAGGCAGGCGATTCTCTCTTGATGCAGATGACGTATCCAGGGCTCTCTCTCTCTCTCTCTCTCTCTTAATGTTTATTCTTTCTGATCCAACAGTGAAAAAAATCAATTTAAAAATAGCAATTAAAACTCCCTTCTCAGAGTGCATATTTGGTTACAGTAGTCTACATCATACTACCCTCCTTACAGATGTGAAATTGCCCTGAAAGCAGAGTTGTCCAGAAGTGAAATATTAAACAATTCAAACTTAAAATGTTCCAGAGGTAGAGCAAAGAGAGCTGGGGATATATAAGTAACATACTGTGTAGAACCAGCAAAAACACACACGCATGAGCACACACGCGCGCGCGCGCGCACACACACACACACACACACAGTGTGCGGTGCGCTTTTGTGACTGCTAAAACTATAACATCTGGAATGCCATTCTGGAAAACTTCCAGATGTTTTCCATGAGGAACACTTTGTAAAAATTGTTAGCCTTCTAGGCATTTGTGAATTTTGTAAGGAGAGTACACTCCCAGGCCCACATAGGAGCAAATATAGGATTATAAAGTGCTAAATGCTTTTCACAACTGTATAAGCAATAATGCGCTTTGGGTAAATATTCAGGGAAATTATTTTTACAGACTAAGCAAAAGGATATGTTCCAACCTGCAATTAGATTTGTATTTCAGAGAAATCAAGAAATGCAGGACAGCTCATCTTAAGGCAGTTTGCCTGGGAGCCAGAGACCCTAACCTGGGAAATGTCACACATCCTGATCATTAATGTCCTCGTTTGTAGTCATTCCAACGTTGAAAGAGGCTAGCACAGTTTCATAGCTTGTTATATTTATCTTCCTTCCCAGGATTTTTATATTGCATTTTATGAATACGGCTTCAATTTATATGTAAGCCTCGTAATCATTAGCATTATGTTAAAGAAAAAAAAAGGAAAGAAAAAAATGCTTGGGAAGAAAAAACACTCCAACAACAATGCTTGGGAAACCCTTGAGAGAATTGTTAGTTTTTAAAATGCATAATATATAAACATCTTAAAGGAATATCCAGAGTTTCTTTTGAAATTAGAAATTATGTGAAGCAAGGAAAGAATCATAAAAGCTTATTGATTTCCCAAACCCACTGAGTAGAAGTATTTTTAAACCATGATTCACATAAGGGATACATTTGACACATCAATAGAAACTGGAGACCAGACTCCGCACCGCCACATCAGATACTGCTCCTAGCTGAGTTTGTTTATCATTACAAAGTGAAAAGAAATTTGTTTTTCCTCCCCTGCTCCCTCTCCCTTGAGAATGGTGATTTTTATTGATTTTGTCCTTTAGAAAACAGTTGAAGTTAAAATGGCCATGATAAACTCATCAGAGCTATTTCCCTTTTAATTCTGCACTTTGCTGCCCATTCTTCCTATGTAGGGTTTGGACCCAAACCCAGAGACAGCCATAGCTCCAGGAGCATTTTTGTTTGGAGGTAAGCTAAGGCTTTCCACTGCCCTCAAAGATTCTTCATTTGGGACCCACAGTGTCCCCCTAGGAAGAATCTGGGAAGGCTGAGCAATTGGAGCCTTCTTTGTAAATAGGTGGTATGCCCCATCTGGCGGCTCACACTGTGACCACAGAGGAGAGGGACCCAGAGGCTGCCTAAGGGCCCTGGAAACCATGAGACAGTCTCTCTCAGGCCTGTCACTCACTTCCTTGTCTCCTCCTTCATCTTCATTCATCATCATCACCCTCATGACATTTCCATGAGGGATTTTCTTGCATAAAAGCAACTCAATAATGAAATAGTTGCAAATCCAGGCATGGCAATAGAATGAAGTATGAGTCTTTCCCATTTTTTAATTTCCCAGAGTGCTGGTGAGCCAGCCCTGGGATCTCGGTGTCTGACTGGGACTCACTCACAGGTACAGCCATGAAAACTCAAAGGAGAAAGGGACACACTCTTTGTCACATTCAGCTGTGGAGCTCCCATCTCACCAGCTACACAGCCATTTCCTCAAGTGGTTAGTTTCTAAACAGCATGCTTAGCACAGGTTACTCTGAGCTCTTGGTTGTTAATACATGAAAAGAACAGAAAGCTAAGGATATTCTGATTCTACCCCAGGGCTGCTTCAAAGACAAAAGGAAAGAAATGAGAAATGGGAAAATGCCCAAGGAATCAGAAAATATCACAAGGTCAACCCACCTCGTGTAAATCAGCGCACACCGTTCCAGAGGGTCGCATAGAAACCTCACGCTCAGGTTTAATTTGCCCATCCTGAAGTATTTTTCCTAGTAGTGCCAAATGCCATAATGCTCTCTGTCAGTGATTTGAAATTATTCTATAAGCCACATATCGGGTACACTATTGTTAATGAAATGCACACAAGATGATGAACAACTTCCTTTTCCTGCTGGAGCCCCAGCTGCAACCAGTGCCTGGATCCTTCATGCTGTAAATCAGCCCTTTGTACTCCAGGAGGATTCAATGAGCTGCAGGTGTGGGCTGTGGAAGGCCGCCTGGGATTAGGTAGCAGCATTTGATATGAGATCCCAAATAGCACTGGCAATCTATGCGCCACATGCGGCCACAGGCTTTGGAGAAAGCAAAGGAAAAACGCTGATGAAATGTGGCACGGGCCCATGGAATGCAATGTCAAAGTTTCACATCTGCAGGAAAAGAAAGAGAGTTCCTAATTTTACAGTGATGATGTCATTGAGAATTCATGACAGTGGAAATGATGGGCCAAGGTTTGCAAACTTAACCACTCAGGAGGTTGCTAACTAAAGGCTGAGCTTTTCAAGGGACAGTGTGGATTTGTGTGGAACACTGATTTGCCTTCCTGACCTGAGCAGTCATAGTGTCTGTGTGTGTGTGTGTGTGTATGCATGTGTGTGCACACACATTTGCGCACAGGCTCTGGAGAGACATGGGGAGAGGAAAAGAACTTGTATTTGAGAGGTTATGCATTATGCAGGCATATCAAGCTGATATTTTGCATGCCAAATGTGTCCTTAAAAATATACTGTCTCTGTGTCATTCAGCATAAAACACTGCTGGCTGTCCTTAACAACAATATAATTTTAAAAGATTGATTTCAGACGCTCCAAAAATTCACGAGCCAAGAAAAACTATCATAGTTGTTCACTTTCTCCCTAATGTTAACTGCCGAAAAGAGCTTCTTTTTAAATATTTTTTTCTTCCTTGAGACTGAAGAGACATAAAAATAAGTCTGGTTTTGTTATTAGTACATGGATAAAATATGTATTGAAGAAAACACATCTTTAATTTTTTAAGAGTCTGTTTTTCATTAGCTTATCTTGATAGTTTAAGTTAATCATTATTTTCAGCCATATATGATTTAGATATTATGTCATTAATTCATGTACAGTCCATCTGAGTAATGATTGTGGTTTTCTACTTTACAAATTCATCTACTTCACCAAGAAACCAAGAGAGTCAAATTCCATGCAACATCTGGTTTCCATTGAATGTAATTGCCATTTGCAGAGTTATAATCATGTGTTATTGTAAGGGCCACAGTGTCAATCACTCTCCTAATGGGGAAAATTCAATGCCTAAATACCTGGGAGAACAAGAAGCTGACTTAAACAGGTGCATTCAGACACTAGGTTTTAAGTAGAATTCTAACCTACCCATTTAAATAAATCATTTTAAGGAGAAACAATATTCTTTCCATCCCCTGTAGCAAGGGAAAGCATAAAATCCAGGACTTCAATCTCCCATGCTCAGTTCCAGTACTATATCATGTTTAATCTTTTTAAAAATGTTCAAATATGCCTATATCATAGTGATTCCTTATGTTCCATACTCTCATGGGAACTCCCAAAGGCCAGGCAGGATTTTTGAAAACTTTCTGGGGGAAGGGACCATCTTCTGATTCTTCCTGCCTTACATCTTCTGATTCTTCCTGTCTTTTTTTCTTACGATGAAAATAAGCCACACTTGATTTAAGAAAATATTAAACCATTCAAACTACTAAAGTCATTATAGCTTTTTCTAGCCCATGGGGTTTTTTGGGGGGATAATCACATAAGAGGTTGAAAAAATCATGAAGCACCGTGGTAGAGAGTGCAATATGTAAGCACTTTATGGCAAAAGTGAACCACATTTCCTTGACCTCATTCTCCATTGTGTTTACAAGCCAAGCCTTGTTTGAACTGGTAAATGTTTGGCCATGCATTCAGGAAACATTTCCTAAGGCAAAAATAACACGCCAGGAATTGCACTGGACATTCAGGATGCAATGATGAATAAGACAATCTAGAGGGTGAGAGAGCACACACGCAGGTAATTACAACATCAGACAAGAAGTAGAAATAAGCCCACATATTATAGCAGCAGAGAAAGGCCATTTTATCCAGCCAGCTTAAGAAGGAGGAGTGAGTCCCAGAAGGCTCCCTGGAGAAGGTGACAGCTGAGCCAAGTTTTAAAGGATGGATAGAAGTGAAAGGCTTTCTATATAAAGGCCTTTAATTTTAGTACCTGCTAAGGAAATGTTTATGCTAGTAAACTTTTTGATTCAATAGAAATACTATGAAAAGGTAATTTACAGTTCTGTTCAATTCATTCCTTCACATAGTTATATAAATGACATTTACTATTCTATTCATTGCACGTATTCTTCTCATCTATGCAAAACTTAGGAAGCATGAGAGAAGTAGCAATTCCCACAAGCAATTTTCATTATCTTTGGCATTATCATTACTGAAATACCATCTTACATTTGAGGAACACTCTGAAATCTGCAAAAGGCTTTTGACAACATTTTATTTTCTTGTCACAGTAAGGTAGGAGGTGCAAGTATTAGATTGGTCCCACTGCAACACAGATGTTAAAAGGTCTTGGTGACAAAAGGGCTAGAATTCAAGTCTATAACCTCCATAACTAAGACTGCTGGGCTTAAAAACATGCAGCCTCTCACCTAGATGAGGAAAGAAGGAAGAACTTAGCATCTGGACCATAGTTGATGCTCACCATGATTGAACAAACGAAAACATTTCCAGCTCTCAATTAGTCATGCAGATGGAGATGACTTTACTCCAGAAAACTTAAACTAAGAGTTAACCTTCAGAACCATTTCTGTTGGTTTATCATGCATTTTGTGATCATATTGGCAGCAGATTTATTCTCACAATTTTCCTTCTTTTTAAGCAACTAGTTGAGGTTTTCCACATCCTCTGAGCGCTTCCAGACTTAAAACTGATGAGATAACCCAAAAATGCCTGAAAGGATGGCAGGATGATGCAGGCTGGAATGAATAAATACTGGTAAATAAACATATGGATAATGCATAAGTAGCAATGTCAAAATAAAATAAAATAACCTCCAAAATAGGAAAGTAAGGACTAAAGAGACCATGTCAGTAAGTAGCATTGGTTCCAGACTCAGGGATCCCACCTTCTAATACTGGCTCATGAATTATTTGTTTAGCCTCTACTAGCCCGTGGTTTTGTCATCTATTCAAGAGGAATCACAGCCTCTCCCCCACCCAGCAAACATACTTGTTGAGCGAATCAATGGAAATGTCTAATAGAAAGCTGTGCAAATTATAAAGCAGTAAGTAAATGCAGGGAAGTTATTACCCCTGACAAATTGAGAGGTGCTTCCCTTTCCATCTGAGGTTGCCAGAGATTGGTTTATAGTAATAACATCTGTCTGGTCGAGGCCCCACTGAAGATCATGAGACCCAGGGAGGCAGGAATCCAGTTTCTTGGCCTTCTGAAGTCCAGATGAAAGCTGTTTCTCAGAAAACTCTTGTTGCTTTCTGCTTTTGTTGTTGTTGTTTTGAAAGATGGTTATTTAAGTCTAAGGGGACTTTAAGCCTCCTTCCAAACAGAATCCACAGTTTCCAGAATGCCTACGTGTTTACTATAATTTGTACAATCATGTACTGTGACATAGAGCATATAACATTTCTATAAAGATGCCCTGATGTTGTATTCTAAGGCTCCTCAGAAGGCAGCCTTAGAGTTTCCCTGCCAGGGATGCTTTTCATCCTCAGAATCAGGGACTAACCAATTCTTTCTGGATCTGATTCAAGGAACCAGTCAGTAATCACTGGGAGAATCCATGCTCCCTTCGCCCTCCCTCGCCATAACTGCAGCTTTTGACAATGGATAAGCAGATAACAACATGCGTGATGGAAGGCCCCTTGAAGCCACTTTCTCCCAGGACATTTCTCACTCAGAGTTTAAAAGATGGCAAATGAGAACAGTGATATTGGCCACACCTGCAGAGAAGAATGGCCTCTCAGATTAATTGTCAGGACACCTGAAATCAGCTCCAAGTTGTGCCAATTATCAGCTATGGGGGTTCTTAGGTAAGTTTCATAAACTTTCTTGGCCTTAGTTTACACATCTATATAATGGAGAAGATATTTCTTGCTATTATACTTTAAGTGAAGGTTGTAAAATTAAATATGTAAATTATTTGAAAAGATAGCACAGTAGGTCAACAAATATGTATATACCATATGTCTTATAACTAAATGATTGTTAATAATTATCAAAGGCTCTATATTGTGTAATAAGAGCTGGCATGTATTGCATACTTGCCACATGTTTGCACTTTTTTAAGCTTGTCACAGGCTTTAACTCATTTAATTTTTACAAGCAGCCAGTGTATGCACCAGTATCATCCAACATCATTCAGGCTCAGAGAGCTTAAGTAAAAAGTAACACAGTTCCCAAGTGGTCCAGCCAGGATTTGAACCTAGGAAGTCTGGCTCCAAGGCCTGCGTGCCTCACCACTGTGCTATATTGCTTCTCATCCATGCAGGAATATATACATATACACATGTATTTCAATATCTTTATCATACTTACAAAAAAATTTACAAAAATAATACAAAGAATTTTTATATAATTTTTCCTAGATTCTCCAAATGTTAATACTTTAGCACATTTACTTTATCATTCTCTCTTTCTCTAGACAAACACGCATATTTACATTTTTCTGAATCCTTTGAGAGTTGCAGACATGATGCCCCTTAATGTCTAAATATCTCTGTATATTTCCTAAAACAAGGACATTCTCTTGCACGACCACAGTATAATTATTAAAATCAGAAATTAACCTTGATACAGTACTATTGTCTAGTCTACAGATTATAGCCACATTTTGCAAAATATCTCACCAGCATCCTGGATAGCAAAAGTTTTGTGGGTTTGGTTTTTTTTAGAACTTTTTTTTCCTGGATCTTATCCAGGATCACACATTGCATGACCTTGACATTTTTGAAGACAACTGGGTTTGGGCTTCTCTGATGTGTTCTGATTAGGTCCAGGTTGTGCATTTTTAGCCAGCATACCACAGAAGTGATGATGCGTCCTTCTCTGTGCATTTTATCAGGAAGCATATGATATCTATTTGTCACATTACTGGTGAGGTTAAAAAAAAAACATATTTTTAAACTGTGTACTTTGTTTACGAGGTAACATGTCTCTCCGCTGCCCAGGAAGCTCCCAAAGGGAGGAGTGGGGCTCCCTTCATGTCTATGTCCTCTGCCAGCCTGACACAGCACTGCACATTGGCTTTGTGCTCAGTAAACTCTTGCTTTGCTTTCTCCTTTTTGATCCATCTCTTCTGGTGATTCTTTCATGTTTACTCCTTATAATGAGAGAATCAAGGCAAAAGCCTATCTGTTTGTTCATTCTGCAACCAGGATGCCCACTCAATTTATGGAGCTCCTTGTCAGGCTCTGAACCAGTTGCTGGAAGAATACAGAGGTAAACAAAACATAGCCCCACTGTCCTCCAGGAGATGGTGTCACCTAAGCCAGCCCCTATAGCAGAGAGAGAATGGTGGACTCGTCCTTCCTCCACCATCCCAGGATCTCCAGCCTCAAGACCTTTTCTCCCCAGCTTCCACCCCCATTTTCCCACTTTACTTCTCAACAGTCAGGGTCCTGTCTTCTGTCTCACCAATTACCCAGTAGTTAAGTGTCAGAGTGTCAGAGGCTTCTGGTAAGATCATGTGTTTCCTTCCTGATAACATGTTTGCTTACTAGTAGCAGTTTCCTAGAAACAGGAACTTAACTAAAGGAGTGATCCTAGTGGTAGGATGTTCAGGAGGCAGGAAGATTTCTAAGCAGCAGTGCCATTCGGATTCTTCCACACTGCACAGCAGAGTGGTGTCCCCTGTCCCTTTGTTCTGTAGATGTGACCTCTAATCAGAACTGGCCTCACTGTCCCCCTCACCCAGGACATGCAGAAGTCCCACAGTGGACTGCACACCAGAACTCTCCAAGAAGCAGGTTAATGAAGAAAAGAAGGAAATGTGATTGACACCATCTTTATGTCACTAAAAATGTCTAGTTTCTGCCTTTGATCTAATTAGTAAATGCAGGATCAAGTCATCTTTTTATTTATTGAAAGCCTGGCTCTGTGAGGGGACAAGCTTCAGGTGAGCCAGAGAGAAATCAGGAAAAGCATGCCCCCTGCCCTCCTGGAGTTTGTAGTTCAGCCCCCCAACCCTCCCTGACCAGCAAATGCAATGGGCATTTGGCAAGCTTGTCAACATGTCATCACCTGCTGATGTGGTGCAGTAGCCTTTGACAAGTGCACGTGTTACTGTCCAGTCACAGCCAGTCATTAAAGTGAAAAGTCAACACAAACTACTGCTTTCAAAGAAAGCAGTCTCACTCTGCCGTCTGGGACCAGGGCAGATGCAGGGCCCCTATGGCAGCACAGACAGATGGAATGCAGGAGGAGGAAGGGTCAAGAACATGGCAGCTGGCCAGGCGTGGTGTCTCATGCCTGTAATTCCAGCACTTTGGGAGGCTGAGGCGGGCAGATCATGAGGTCAGGAGATCAAGACCATCCTGGCTAACACAGTGAAACCCTGTCTCTACTAAAAATGCAAAAAGTTAGCCAGGCGTGGTTGCGGTCACTTGTAGTCCCAGCTACTCAGGAGGCTGAGGCAGGAGAATGGGGGGAACCTGGGAGCCGGATCTTGCAGTGAGCCAAGATCGCGCCACTGCACTCCAGCCTGGGCGACAGAGAGAGATTCTGTCTCAAAAGAAAAAAAAAAGAACATGGCAGCCTCTGCTGGTGATACCCAGGCAAACAGGGTCTGCAGTGGACTTCCAGCAAACTCCAGCAGACCTGCAGAAGAGGGGCCTGACTGTTAGAAGGAAAAATAACAAACAGAAAGGAGTAGCATCAACAATAAAAGGGACGTCCACTCAGAGACCCCATCTGAAGGTCAGCGACTTCAAAGACCAAAGGTAGATAAATCTGCAAAGATGAGGAAAAACCAGCACAAAAAGGCTGAAAATTGCAAAAACCAGAATGCCTCTTCTCCTACAAAGGATCACAACTCCTCACCAGCAAGAGAACAAAACTGGACAGAGAATGAGTTTGACGAGTTGACAGAAGTAGGCTTCAGAAGGTGGGTAATAACAAACTCCTCCAAGCTAAAGGAGCATGTTCTAACCCATCGCAAGGAAGCTAAAAACCTTGAGAAAAGGTTAGATGAATGGCTAACTTACCAGTATACAGAAGAACAGACTGATGGAGACAGAACATCTGATGGAGCTAAAAAGCACAGAACGAGAACTTTGTGAAGCATACACAAGTATCAGTAGCCAAACTGATCAAGCAGAAGAAAGGATATCAGAGATTGAAGATCAACTGAACAAAATAAAGTGTGAAGACAAGATTAGAGAAAAAAGAATGAAAAGGAACAAACAAAGCATCCAAGAAATATGGGACTATATGAAAAGATCATACCTATGTGTGATTGGTGTACGTGAAAGTGACAGGCAGAATGGAATCAAGCTGGAAAACACTCTTCAGGATATTAGCCAAGAGAACTTCTCCAGCCTAGCAAGAAAGGCCAACATTCAAATTCAGGAAATACAGAGAACACCACAAAGGTACTCCTCAAGAAGAGCAACCCCAAGAAAAGTAATTGTCAGATTCACCAAGGTTGAAATGAAGGAAAAAATGTTAAGGGCAGCCAGAGAGAAAGGCCAGGTTACCCACAAAGGGAAGCCCATCAGACTAACAGCAGATCTCTCTGCAGAAACCCTACAAGCCAGAAGAGAGTGGGGGCCAATATTCGACATTCTTAAAGAAAAGAATTTTCAACCCAGAATTTCATATCCAGCCAAACTAAGCTTCATAAGCAAAGGAGAAATAAAATCCTTTACAGACAAGGAAATGCTGAGAGATTTTGTTACCACCAAGCCTGCCTTACAAGAGCTCCTGAAGGAAGCACCAAATATGGAAAGGAACAACCAGTACCAGCCACTGCAAAAACACACCAAATTCTAAAGACCATAGACGCTACAAAGAAACTGCAACTAATGGGCAGACTAACCAGCTAGCATCATAATGACTGGATCAAATTCACACACAACAATATTAACCTTAAACATAAATGGGCTAAATGCCCCAATTAAAACACACAGACTGGCAAATTGGATAAAGAGTCAAGACCCACAGATGTGCTATAATCAGGAGACCCTTCTCACGTGCAAAGACACACATAGGTTCAAAATAAAGGGATGGAGGGATATTTACCAAACGAATAGAAAGCAAAACAAAGCAGGGGTTGCGATCCTAGTCTCTGATAAAACAGACTTTAAACCAACAAAGACCAAAAAAGACAAAGAGGCGCATTACATAATGGTAAACGGATCAATGCAACAAGAAGAGCTAACTATCCTAAATATATATGCACCCAATACAGGAGCACCCAGATTCATAAAGCAAGTTCTTAGAGACCTACAAAGAGACTTAGACTCTGACACAATAATAGTGTGAGACTTTAACACCCTACTGTCAATATTAGACAGATCAATGAGACAAAAACTTAACAAGCATATTCAGGACTTGAACTCAGCTCTGGACCAAGCAGACTGAATAGACACCTACAGAACTCTCCACCCCAAATCAACAGAATATACATTCTTCTTAGCACCACATGGCAGTTATTCTAAAACTGACCACATAATTGGAAGTAAAACACTCCTCAGCAAATGCAAAAGAATGGAAATCAGAACAGTCTCTCAGACTACAGTGCAATCAAATTAGAACTCAGGATTAAGAAATGCACTCAAAATTGCACAACTACATGGAAACTGAACAACCTGCTCCTGAATGAGTACTGGGTAAATAACAAAATTAAGGCAGAAATAAGTAAGTTCTTTGAAACCAATGAAAACAAAGACACAATGCACAAGGATCTCTGGGACACAGCTAAAGCAGTGTTTGGAGGGAAATTTATAGCACCAATTGCCCACAGGAGAAAGTAAGAAAGATCTAAAATCAACACCCTAACATCACAATTAAAAGAACTAGAGAAGCAAGAACAAACAAATTCAAAAGCTAGCAGTAGACAAGAAATAACTAAGATCAAAGCAGAACTGAGAAAGATAGAGACATGAAAAACCCTTCAAAAAATCAATGAATCCAGCAGCTGGTTTTAGGAAAAGATTAACAGAATAGATAGACCGCTAGCCAGACTAATAAAGAAGAAAAGAGAGAAGAATCAAATAGACACAATAAAAAATGATAAAGGGGATATCACCACTGATCCCACAGAAATACAAACTACTATCAGAGAATACTATAAACATCTCTATGCAAATAAACTCGAAAATCTAGAAGAAATAGATAAATTCCTGGACACATACACCCTCCCAAGACTAAACCAGGAAAAAGTTGAAGCCCTGAATAGACCAGTAACAAGTTCTGAAATTCAACCAGTAATTAATAGCCTAGCAACTAAACAAAAGCCCAGAACCAGACAGATTCACAACTGAATTCTACCAGAGGTACAAAGAGGAGCTGGTACCATTCCTTCTGAAACTATTGCAAATGATAGAAAAAGAGGGACTCCTCCCTAACTCATTTTATGAGGCCAGCATCATCCTGATACCAAAACCTGGCAGAGACACAACAAAAAAAGAAAATTTCAGACCAATATCCCTGATGAACATTGATGTGAAAATCCTCAATAAAATATTGGCAAACTGAATCCAGCAGCACATCAAAAAGCTTATCCACCATGATCAAATTGGCTTCCTCCCTGGGATGCAAGGCTAGTTCAACATATGCAAATCAATAAATGCAATCCATCACATAAACAGAACCAATGACAAAAACCACATGATTATTTCAATAGATGCAGAAAAGGCCTTCAATAAAATTCAACACCCCTTCATGCTAAAAACTCTCAATAAACTAGGTATTGATGGAATGTATCTCAAAATAAGAAGAGCTATTTATGAAAACCCACAGCCAATATCATACTGAATGGGCAAAAGCTGGGAGCATTCCCTTTGAAAACTGGCACAAGACTCTCACCACTCCTATTCGACATAGTATTGGAAGTTCTAGTCAGGGCAATCAGGCAAGAGAAAGAAATAAAGGGTATTCAAGTAGGAAGAGAGGAAGTCAAATTGTCTCTGTTTGCAGATGACATGATTGTATATTTAGAAAACCCCATCATCTCAGCCCAAAATCTCCTTAAGCTGATAAGCAACTTCAGCAAAGTCTCAAGATACAAAATCAATGTGCAAAAATCACAAGCATTCCTATACACCAATAACAGACAAACAGAGAGCCAAATCATGAGTGAACTCCCATTCACAATTGCTACAATGAGAATAAAATACCTAGGAATACAACTTACAAGGGATGTGAAAGACCTCTTCAAGGAAAACTACAAACCACTGCTCAAGGAAATAAGAGAGGACACAAACAAATGGAAAAAAACATTCCATGCCCGTAGATAGGAAGAACCAATATCATGAAAATGTCCATACTGCCCAAAGTAATTTATAGATTCAATGCTATCCCCATCAAGCTACCATTGACTTTCTTCACAGAATTAGAAAAAACTACTTTAAATTTCATATGGAACCAAAAAAGAACCCATATAGCCAAGACAATCCTAAGCAAAAAAAACAAAGCTGAAGTCATCATGCTACCTGACTTCAAACTACATTAAAAGGCTATGGTAACCAAAATAGCATGGCATTGACACCAAAAGAGATATAAGACCAATGGAACACAACAGAGGCCTCAGAAATAATGCCACACATCTACAACCATCTGATCTTTGACAAACCTGACAAAAACAAGCAATGGGGAAAGGATTACCTATTTAATAAATTTATTTATTAACAAATAGAGAATAAATATGCAGAAAACTGAAACTGGACCACTTCCTTACACCTTATACAAAAATTAACTCAAGATGGATTAAAGACTTAAACATATGACCTAAAACCATAAAAACCTTAGAAGAAAATCTAGGCAGTACTATTCAGGATATAGGCATGGGCAAAGACTTCATGACCTAAACACCAAAAGCAATGGCAACAAAAGCCAAAATTGACAAATGGGATCTAACTAAACTAAAGAGCTTCTGCACAACAAAATAAATTTTCATCAGAGTGAACAGGCAACCTACTGAATGGGAGAACATCTTTGCAATCTATACATGTGACAAAGGGCTCATATCCAGAATCTACAAGGAACTTAAACAAATTTGCAACAAAAAAAAAACCCATCAAAAAGTGGGCGAAGGATATGAACAGATACTTTTCAAAAGGAGACATTTATGCAGCCAACAAACATATGGAAAAAAAAGTTCATCATCACTGGTCATTAGCAAAATGCAAATCAAAACCACAATGAGATACCATCTCACGCCAGTTAGAATGGTAATCATTAAAAAGTCAGAAACAGGCTGGGCATGGTGGCTCACGCCTGTAATACCAGCACTGCGGGAAGCCAAGGCGGGTGGATCACAAGGTCAGGAGATCGAGACCACCCTGGCTAACACAGTGAAACCCTGTCTCTACTAAAAATACAAAAAAAAAAAAAAATTAGCCAGGCGTGGTGGGGTGCACCTGTAGTCCCAGCTACTCGGGAGGCTGAAGCAGGAGAATGGCGTGAATCCAGGAGGCGGAGGTTGCAGTGAGCCAAGATCGTGCCACTGCACTCCAGCCTGGGTGACAGAGTGAGACTCCATCTCAAAAAAAAAAAAGTCAAAAACAACAGATGCTGGAGAGGATGTGGAAAAACAGGAATGCTTTTACACCGTTGGTGGGAGTATAAATTAGTTCAACCATTGTGGAAGACAGCTTGGGGATTCCTAAGGGATCTAGAACCAGAAATACCATTTGACCCAACAATCCCATTACTGGGTATATACCCAAAGGATTATAAGTCATTCTACTATAAAGACACACATACACGTATGTTTATTGCAGCACTATTCACAATAACAAAGACTTGGAACCAATCCAAATGCCCATCAATGATAGACTGGATAAAGAAAACGTGGCACATATACACCATGGAATACTATGCAGCCATAAAAAGGATGAGTTCGTGTCCTTTGCGGGGATATGAATGAAGCCGGAAACCATCATTCTCAGCAAACTAACACAGGAACAGAAAACCAAACACTGCAAGTTCTCACTCATAAGTGGGAGTTGAACAATGAGAACACATGGAGACAGAGAGAGGAATATCAAACACTGGGGCCTACTGGGTTGAGGGGGTTAGGGGAGGGATAGCATTAGGATGAATACACAATGTAGATGATGGGTTGATGGGTTCAGCAAACTACCATGGCACGTGTATACCTATGTAACAAACCTGCACGTTCTGCATGTGTATCCCAGAACCTAAAGTATAATTTAAAAAAAAAAAAAAAGAAAAATCATGAAAAATATATAAATAAATAAAATAAAATAAAAATAAATAAATAAAGGAACATGGCCTTTGGATTTCAATGGTTGGATTTCAGTGCCAACACTAACAAGCTGATGAACTCCAGATAAATGATTTAACGGGGCTAGATAAATCTCCTCACTTGTAACACTGGAATATTAATAGAACCTATCTCAAAATGTTGTAAGGAATAAATGAGATGTAAACTGTGTAGCTCCACTGACAGGAAAATGATAAGGTTCCAGGAGCTGACAGCATTATTAAGATGTCTTTACCTTTCTGGAATTAAGGGCTAAGAACAATGTTTCTCAATCCCCACTCTCAGATTGGTCCAGAATTTCCAGCCGATGGGCTTCAGAGGGCACTATGCTATGAAATTCACACTGAAATTCACACCTATGTTTGTATAACACACTACAGATGCCTAAGAAAATGTGAGATTCCTATCTCAAAGATTGGAGGAGGGGCCGATGCCCCCTGCCCTAGGAATCTTACTTAAGAATCTTCTTTATGAAGTATCACAAATACCCAAGGGATAAATACACAAGACTCAGTTGAAATTTGTGGGAACTTCACCATTACAAAGAAATCTTTTTGATTGCCTCTGTTGTAGAGTTGTAGAAATTTGGGAGGGTTTTTTGCACTTTTTTTTGGCACTCTTTAAAAAAGTTTATATTTTGCCTCTTTTTCATTATTTCTAGGTAACTTTATTTTCAATCATTAAAGTACTATTTGGCTTTTGAGTATTCTTTACACATTTAACCTTCTATCTATCTAAACTTTTACTTTCTGATTTCCATTTTCTCTTATTTCTCCTCAGCTCTACAGTTTTACTGTTTTATTTCTCTAAATCTTTTGGTACATGTTTACTTCCCTTTTTTGTTTGGCCAAAATTTCTTTTTAACTTTTCAGTTATCTTCAGGTATTTTAATCACTTTATCTCTTTTCTTTATATATATATATATGCTTACATTGAAGCATTCCATCATTTTGTTTCTTGTCTTTCTAAATTTAAGACTTTCCCCCTTTTATTCACTTGATTCTTTAGGCCTTTAATTTCTAATTTTTTTGTTTTTATCATTTGTTTTGTGTCTTCATTTCCTTTAAATATTTTGATTTTAGCATTGGCCTATAATGTCAGGCAGAAATCTTTGCCTTGCTGTGGGGTAAAAGTTGCAAAGTGAAGGAGTAGAGAGGGAGTCTATCCCCTCACCCTGTCTGCTCCTCCTAAACTGTGCCTCTGGGGCCCCTGAATTGGATTCCCATCAATTTCTATGTCAATCCTGAAAGTCTTAACCTAAGTAATGTGTGAAGCCCTCGGGTTTAAATTCCTTCCTTGAGACAATAGTGTTTCTACTACGTATATCACACACAGTTCATCCCTTTTATGAGGCAGCCATGGCCCAGCCTGGGGTCATCCATTGTCCACTCTGGAAAATCCCGAGGCCAGGAAAGCAGGGAGCTGCACCACAGACAAGAGCGGTGAGAGGCACATGGCTTCAAAACTGTTTTGTCCTTAACACCAGACCAATCAACCATATCAGAGGGCACTGGCTGCTCTGGAAAAGTCTTGCCATAGACTCAACCGTCAAGAGAGTACACTGGTCCGGAGGAAGGTCATCCTTCCTCCACAAATTCACAGCCTAGGGTTCAGAATTTGTCTCTGTCTCAAAGTAGCAATCACAATTCCAGTATGGAGTAAAATTAGAACAGGATACGCTATATTCTAAGTTATTATTGTAGCATCCAAATAATCAACCTTCATAGCCAATGAAATGAAAATAATCATTTTAATCTGAACAAAGTTTAGGCCTTTCCATACCCTCCCCATTCCCTATCTTATATGATCTTCATATGTAAGCCATGAGAAATAAATGATCAACAAATGTACCCAAGGACAGAGAGTAGGCGGCAAAGCCAGAACCAGAACCCAGGTCCCTGCCTTGCCCCAGCATTCTTCCTACTGTGCCAGGTGCCAGGCCACCTCTTAATGTCACCCACAGCAAGAACCTCCACACCAACGAGGAGAATGTGCCTGCCCACACAGCATCATTTCAGGAGCCATAGCCCACCTGCAAGCTGGGTCCTGAAACTATTTTCTATCTCAAAAACAGACCAGGGACACATCAACTTAAATTCATCTTTTTTTAGAGTGGAATTGACAAGGGCAAGGGCAAGAAAGAATGATGTAACTGGACACCTGTATGACACAGAGCTATCCCAAGAAGGAGAAGCAAGCCTGGAATATGGAAGCCAAACAAAGCACCTCCACTCCCCCAAGAAAAGTCTCCCCACAAAGTTCTGCTCCATCAGAGCCTGACTCCTGTTGATCAGGGAGCTCCATCATGAGACCACAGCTTTAATATTTCTGTGTTAAAAAAAAAAGTTGCTACAGAGGTCCTAATTTTCCAAATTTGGTCTTTAAACAATATATCTATGTCCAGTATCTGGGACAAAACTTAGCCTCAGGGTTCCAGGTCACTGAACATTATATAACATTGATTGAAACTTTTTGTGGAACAAACAAATTAACTTCCTGAATGAAAAATACAACCTTACCTATTACGGAAAAGTAAATCCCAAATGTAAAATTTATCTCTAATAGTCTATAAGGAAAAAAAATCCAAACTCAATACCTCTTTGCCTATTGAATAACACTAATCCCATGCAATCACTCTTTGGTAACCCTGCTTGTCTCTAGTTTGACTCCAGCTTGTTAAAACTAACCCATTTTTCTTCTATGAAAGATGCAATCAGTAGTAAGGAGACTGGAACTCTGGTGATCCTGCTAATCAATCTATGTTCCACAAATGAAAACACTCCCCAATTGGTAATTAGTTTCAGTGATGAAGTAATTAAATATTTCACTCTGCGTTCCCTCTGCTCTGCATCTGTGGCTTCGTAAATGTTACATTTTCCAAATCCCCACATGCAATCTTGTTTTATTTATGGCTAGGCCTTTACAAGCTCTGAAATTCTATCTAAACAGCACAAAGGCAAAGGGAAACTTGACAATTAAGTGTTGAACTTGATCATTCCCGTCAGCCAGGCCAGGTAACACAGACACACCTGATCCATACTTGGCCCCGAGTTATCAAAAAAACATGATTACATAGTTTTAGGAGTTCAAGACATAAAAGTAGAAGCCAAATGTTTTCTTATTTAACCTTGATGAAGTGCTTTGGGGAAATGAGAGATGAGCCTGAGTCTTCCAAACAGATGTCTGTCTCAGTTTGATTTCATAACAATGGTTCCTCTCCTGGAGTTCTCTCCACCATTAAAATGCAGCACTCGTATCCAATGGAGGAATGAAAAATGCCAAGGCCCTAATGATTCAAAATTGCACTTTTAGTTGCCTGACCAAGATGGAGTATGACATGTTACCAAAACCCATTTCTTAACATTTAACATTTATTCAAATAATTGGCTGTTGTGGATACATCTGCCAGAAGTTGAGGCCAAATGGTTTTGTTAAGAAATCTTTCATCTTTCTCTTCATATGCATGGTCAATCATCAACTGGTTATTATAAGGAGCCATACACGGATCCAGAATGAGCAGTCCTCAAGGCTTGAACACCAGAGGCATTGATTACATGAAATTCTTGGTAGTGTCTCACAGTCACTCCCTACCCATTGACCTCTGGAAAATTGCCATTGGTAATAAGTAATCATGTGCATTTTTTAGGTCCTTATCATGGATCAAACTCTTCAAGTTTTATAATTTTAAAATGACAGCCACAAACTCCTACCTCTAAAGAATTCTCGGAGGTCAGTGGGAGAAGAAAGAATAAACCAAATCCATGTGCTCTTTCAGGTCAGGGAGAACATAAATAATGTGCTTTGTCCCAGAGGAAATCTTAACTAACCTGGCATAGAAGAGAACCAAATAAGAAGGGGTGAAATGAGCAGCACATCTTCATAAGGAATAAGATTGTGTTTAAACTCATAGATGCAGCGGAAAGAATCCTACACTAGGAATCAGAAGGCCTGGCCTTTAATCCTGGATATAGCACCCAATAGCCATCCACCTTGACAACTCTGAGAGCCCCTTGAGGGAATGGCCCACTCTCCCAACAGGGCAATTGGGTGCATGTTCCCTCAGGTCCATCCCACACTGACATGCTGTATTTCCAGGAAATGTTCCCAGGCTCCAAAAACAGGAAAAGGAAGCACCGCCGCTAAGCAGTAAGGCATCTTAACCTCCCAGCTGAAAAATTCACTAATGATACTAGTAGCAGCAACAGAAAGAGCAGCTGCCATTGATTAAGTGAATACCTACTAGTTACCAGGTACTACGCTAAGCATGTTTTATAAACTATCTCATTCAATCCTCACAACTCTATGAGGTAGGCACCACTGTTCACCTTGTAAACATTAGGTGTAGTTTCAGTAGTTGCCCAAAGTCAAAGTCACAGGGCTAACAAGTAACAGCGTTTGAATTTGAATTTTCTTTAGTCTGACTCCACAGCCAAACCTCTTAATTGCTACATTCATCTGTCTTCACACATGCAAACCTACAAAAGGCGGTGCTCAGAAATCTGCAGTTTAGTTGTTAGCAGACTTTCTAATGATAACTTTGCGGTCCATAAAAACCACCCATTTGCATGTGGGCATTTTATATGTGTGTGTGTGTATGTGTGTGCATATATGTGTATACATATATATGTGTGTGTGTACATATATATGTATGTTAAAAATTCTCTGATTCCTAGTGCAACTTCATAATAAATTACTGTGTCAAAATTTTGTAAATAATATTTCTTAAACCAGATAATATTGAACATATTATAATTAAACTAATTCATTAAGGGATACTATTAACATTTACACTTCCAAGATATCAGATTTTCAAGATTTTTCTTATAAATGAGTATAATAGGCACATTTTGAAATTATTTTAGAGTTTTAGTTGTTATATTAGTATTTGAACGTTTCCATTTTGTTACCATATGCTTACATTTTCAATGCTTCTGTGCAACTTAACAATGTAGATGATTTTCTGAAACTAAAATCCTACAGTCCCCTTAAATACCTGTCATGTGTCACACAACAATGTTTCACTCAGCGACCACATATACGACAGTGGTCCCATAAGGTTATAATACCTTATTTTTACTGTACATTTTCTATTTTTAGGTATGTTTAGATACACAAATACCACTGTGTTAGAACTGCCTACAGTATTCAGTATAGTAACATGCTATACAGGTGGGTATCCTGGGATCAAATAGGCTATCCCATGTAGCCTAGTTGTGTAGAAGGCCATACCATCTAGTTTTGGTAAGTACACTCCATGATGTTTGCACAATGACAAAATCACCAAATGACACATATCTCAGAAGGTATCCCTGTAGATAAATGATGCATGACTCTACTTCATATTTAAATATTTACAGATATTTATTTAATAATTTTTACAGATATTTATTTCTCCACTATAAAAGTCATTCTGATTTAAGCTAAAAAATTCAGAAGACTCATACAATAAGCAGAGTAGTCAAAATATGTCAGCAATATGGCAATATAATGAAGAATGTCTCAAGTTTCATTTGTCTGTCTCCCAAATTCTTATCTTCCTCAGCGTAAATGTTTTTTCCCTTGGCAAATATATTAAATGGAACAATGGTGTCAACAAAAAACTTATGCCAGACATCACTCTAAAACATCCCTCTTATGAAGAAAAAGATATGAACATGCTTATGTACCTGCAAGTTGAAAACAAAGACCAAAGGTATTTTTTAATTTGACAAATAAAAGTTATACATATTTATAGTGTACACATGACATTTTTAAGGACCGAAGTTCTTTCGTTAATTTGGTTACAGCAATATAAGATCAGCTTAAGAATCTTTTTACAAGGTCGATTAAAGCTATGAACAAAATACCTCAAGAAATTGCAGAACTGGACATTTTACCAACCTGAAAGATTATCAGCACTGTGTTTGGGGCCAAAAGAAGGAAGAAATAGGAAAGGGTCTGCTTTTGAATAATACTGTTAGTAGACAACATGTCAAATGACCTAGACATTAATCTAAGAGATCATTAAATTAAAACATGTTATTTTTGTTTGTTTGTTGAGACGGAGTCTCGCTCTGTCGCCCAGGCTGGAGTACAGTGGCACAATCTCGGCTCGCGGGTTCAAGTGATTCTCCTGCCTCAGCCTCCTGAGTAGCTGGGACTACAGGCATGTGCCACCATGCCCAGCTAATTTTTTGTATTTTTAGTAGAGACAGGGTTTCACCATGTTAGCCAGGATGGTCTCAATCTCCTGACCTCGTGATCCACCTGCCTCAGCCTCCCAAAGTGCTGGGATTACAGGTGTGAGCCACCACACCCGGCCTAAAACATATTTTAACTTTGCATTTATGAATGTATAGACAATAGTAACTGTTCAATTAATAACACTAGTTAATACTAATGAGGAAGAAATGATTGGAAAAATACTATTTGTTCTGTAGAAAAACATCAATACAAACTATTGGAAGTAAAATAAATACTTAAGGTGTTAAAATCAATACTTTGTAAGTCTGTAACAAATCTGATATGAAGGAAAAGTGATGTTGGTTTGTGACCTGAAGTGGTCTTGCTGCAATGATAGGACAGTAGGACAACAGGTTTTACATCTCCCTCAACATCTGACATCATGGGATTCAGATAAGAGCTTTATTCACAGGGTCTCCTGTACAAACATCTGAATTCTATATTAAATCATGTTATCATGATGGTGATCCTAATAAAACCCATGCACTACAGTTTATACGAAGAAATTTGATCACAATATAACTCTGTTGTTTTAAATAAAATTATCTTAGCTGTCCAAAAGAAAAATTTTAAAGAGGGTATGAGCTAGTAAAGAAAAAAAAATTTCATGGGGTGAGGGAGAGGAATAAGCTCCACTTTGCAGATTTGCTTAAGGACAATTATTAGCTTCAGGAAGTAGTTTGACACCTGAATTAACTTAATTGGAAATTGCAAAGTCCCTATAAAAACACACTAAAGTACATTTATAAGGCTTATGGATTCGAAGCAAAAACTCATCTTTGAAAAATGAAGTTAATAATATGGTTCATTAATATTTAAGTAATACTTTGAATGCTAATTGTTTGAATACTAATAACTAAGAATTACTAAGACCAGTAGAGCAACATATGAAAAAATTATCATTTTGGAGTTATATATTCAATTGGATTTAAAATCCAATTATATTCCCATAAGAAATTTCGGCATTACATCTACCAATGAAAAAAGAAAAAAGAATCCTGTTAAATTTAAATAAAGGATCATGTATTTGATGTTGTAATTTAAACTTTAAAGAGACTAAATCACCTATAGTCTGGCTAAGGGAAAGAAAAGGTTTCTATTCACTAGAAGACAATAAATTAATATGAAAACTCTTCTACCTTTTTCCATACCACTGAGCAAGCATTATTTCTTTGAGAATTTGTGTAAACATCATTTATCTTAAATGATGACTTAAGAATTTGAAGGCATCATCATTAAAAAGTATCGATGAGGACTTGTGTGCAGCCATTTCAAGAATAAAAACTATGTTTAAAAAGTTATCACCAAAGAAGTAAGTTTTAAAATACTAGAATTTGTTATATTTTCTCTAATAATGTATATATTATTTTTGTCATAATTATAAAATATGTGATAAATGTTCTCTCCAAGCCCCACATAGATGCCTCCTAATCCTGTCCAAGTTAGTCTGTACACATATTTTTATTATCTGAGTGTTCCATATTTTGAAAGTGTATGTGAAGCATTGATTTATTCTAAAATTCTTGTTTTACAGGGGAAAAAAGAAACATCCAGAGAGGTTTCGTGTCACCAACTAATTAGGGATAAAAGCCAAGATCAGAATCTAGAATGCCCTACTTTTACCCAGCCAGTATTGCTCTGATTGGGAATGTTGGGTACTAAAGTGTACTTTATGCTAAACAAACTATGAGCCCTCCTGTCCATCCTCCCAGAATCAGCCTTGCATCTTCCACCTCCATGTCTCTGGTCATGCCAAGCTCCCTAGCTGGAATCCCCTCTCTCTCTCCTGTCCATTGCTAGAGTGTTTCTCATCCCTAAATGCCACTTGCCTGACCATGCTGAACCACACAGCTCTGTCCGTCTGAACATTGCTGGTGTCCACTATCCCAGTCACCCACACAGCATTTCCTCAGAACACAACGGCTGGTTCCATTTACCCACCGATTCCATCCCTGTAACTAGGTTGAGTCAGGGATTGCTTCTAAACTTTCTGCAAATCCTTAGTGCCTCTAGAAAATGCCTTATAGGTGCTTGAGATGGTTAATATTGAGTGTCAACTTGATTGCATTGAAAGATGCAAAGTAAAGTTCCTGCGTGTGTCTGTGAGGGTGTTGCCAAAGGAGATTAACATTTCAGTCAATGGACTGGGAGAGGCAGACCCACCCTGAATCTGGGTGGGCACCATCTAATCAGTTGCCAGTGCGGCTAGAAAAAAGCCGGCGGGAGAAGATGGAAGAAGCTGACTTGCTGAGTCTTCTGGACTTTGTCTTTCTCCCACACTGGATGCTTCCTGCCCTTGAAAATCAGACTCCAAGTTCTTCAGCTTTTGGACTCTTGGACTTACACCAGTGATTTGCCAGGAGATCCTGGGCCTTCAGCCACAGACTGAAGGCTATGCTGTCGGCTTCCCTACTTCTGAGGTTTTGGGACTCAAACTGGTTTCCTTGTTCCTCAGCTTGCAGAAGACCTATTGTGGGACTTCACCTTGTGATCATGTGAGTCAATACTCCTTAATAAACTCCCCTTCATACATATATCTATCCAATTAGTTCTGTCCCTCTAGAGAACCCTGACTAATATAGTGCTTATCAAAAGATCAATTAGTTAATTGACCACAGACTTAAATACCTTCCATTGGCTCTTAGAATCCTAGATCTGTAGACAGTTGGGGCTGCAAAATCTAAGAAGAATCATGTACCCCCTACTGTTCATTCTGTGATAAGAACTCTGTGGCCTACATGGAGGTCACAGAGCCAGAAAATAGTAGCCTTGAGAACAAACCAGGTATGACTGACTCCAAACAAAGCACATACTGCACCATCTTAATTTTTAAAGTTCATTGCAAGCATGTTTATTTTACAAGCAAAAGAAAGCTAATATGAAGACTTCATAATTCCAAACCTCTTTAACTAATTCAGTGTCAATTCTAAAATAATTCCTTACAAATGTACTGCCTGATTTAGAACCAAGATGTCCTCATGTTTAATAAACTAGCATGCATGTGTGTGAAAGGGATCTTAAATTTGGCATCTCTTTCCAGGCTTTTTTCAGTTCAGTATTTTCTGAATTCCTACCATGTGACACTGTGTGAGGTGCTGATATCTGTACTAAATGCTAGTAAAGCCCAAGCTTGAATGAACACCTGAACATCACTGTGTTTAGGAAGATAGAAAGGGTGGGTTCAAATCTTGGCTCCACCACATATTAGCTATGTGATCTTAAACAAGTTACTTAACCATGCCTCAGTTTCCTCATCTGTAAAAGGTGAATAGAAATTATTCCTACCTCATAGAGTTGTTGGGAGAGTTAAATAAGGTAATACTTATTGTAAACAAGTGCTTGTAAATGCTCAGAAATATTTTTATTGCCTTTTTTCTCCTGGGCTAACCATTTCACTTTGAATTCTTGGGTCATGAATTAACAAAAGGCAAAGATCCCAACCACCTACTTGCAGGGACTGGTCTCCTAATAACCATACCCCAAAGGCTACATAGTTAGTCTTTTATGTAACAGTGCAACCCTGGAAGGACTCAGGACTCCAGCCAGGAAAGTCTTAAGGCTAGAAGCACTGAGGAGCACAGCAATCTCTTGGCTGTCTATGATTACGTGGCATCCTTCGATTTAAAATCCTAAGAAAAGGGTGAGCTTGGATTCAGGGGTGCACCCCAAAGCATTCCACAGGCTGGATGCCACAGAGAAGAAAGCAGTTCCACTCAGGGTCAGACCCGGAAAGAATAGCTCCCTTTATTCTCAAACACAATGAATTTCTAATATGATGGACAGATTAATATTATTAACTTTGGCAAATCCACAGCCCTCCAACCCCTTGAGGGTAGAGAAGTGACTTGTTGATTTGGAAAGTCTCCAAAAATAATTTCACGCGAGAAATATTTCTCTTGGATAGTCCCTACAGAGGAAGTGTGCTAAATTAGAAACTGTAACCTGGAGGTATCGTGTAACGACACTGATGCTCTTGTTGGTTGAAAGGTTAGGAAGGCATGCCATGTCCCAAAACATGGACTTGCTCAGGACACCAAAGCAAGGGGTAATGAAATTTCCAAATTTTGATCCTGGAGAGACTATGGCTTGAGTACGAAGAGCCAAAGGCAATTACAGACCACACTAACCTGGATGAGAAGCAAGACTTAAATTGTGAGGAATTTCACCCACACAACTGTGGCAGGGGAGAGGAGATAAAGAACCTCTGTGTGTGTTAAAAAGGAGAGGTTTCAAGGAAAATGGGAAGGAGCTCTGAGCTCTATGGGATAAAATCTCAGGGGCTTCCCTTAAAGGAAAACCACTTATGGGTTTATACCACACAGGGGGACCAGAAGACAGACCTGAGCCCACTTGCTGAGAAAATTCAGACCTTCAGTATAACTAACCAAAGTTGGAATGAGCGATCTGTCCTACTCGGAAGCAGCTACTCATCTTGAACAAACTCTGAAGGGCCTGAGAGTTCAGGAAATATAAGAACTAAGAGACGGGACGCACCCAAGAGATCACCTTATTTATCTCCTGACAGTTAGGTTGTTCTGTCCAGTCCTCCCTCCAGTGTTTGATCTCCCTCCTTGCTAAGAGTCCCCAGTCCCCTGGAGACACATGCTGTCAGGAAGTATTTCATGATTTCTATCCTATTTTCTTTTCCTTTGAGTTTGAACACCACAGGTCTTGTTTAATGAGGCCAGGTTTTTCGTGGAAGTTTTGGGATTGAACCAAGGAAGAGAGGATCAGGAACAGTCAGAAAGCTGTGCACATTTTCAACAACTACCGACAGCAGTGAGTGCTTGGGAAGCAGTGAGATCATAGGCTGGGAAGATGGGAAATCATCAGGAATCCCGGGCTGATGAAACTTTAGAGGTCTTTGGAAAGCTCCCCTGATTATCACCTCCTCTTCTCTCTCTCCTAATTTACCTCCAGGAACTACAGACCTTTATCTCACAGTGAGAGCCAAAGCTTCAAAAGGGTGATTAGTACTGTTGCCAAAGGAGGAACAGTCAATATCAGCTCTTTTCCAAACCCAGTCCTTGATAGAAATGCTCTCTGTAAACTCAGATGAAGAGATGACATCTGTTCTGATTATTGTGATATAGCCCACTGCAGAGCACAAAGCACATAGTAGATCTTTAATAAGTATGTGTCCAGTTGAGTGGCATCAGACATCTAAAGCAGCAGGAAGCACTTCACAAATCAAGTTATAGAAAGCAACTAGCCAACATGTATGGCTGAAGCTTTTAAGGAGAACTTTGTCAGCTTCTCATTTTAATTGCCCCAAATGACCCTACTGAAAGGTGTCCTTGTTTATCATTTTGAGGAAGACACCTACAATGCAACTGCCTGCCTGGCCTGTGGATGTTGCAAAGATCAATGTGAACCCATCATCTCTAAGGCAGGGTGGGATTAGCCCAGGAAACAAACTGCGCTGCCACTAACTAACTTTAAAACCCTGTTCATTTGTGCCTTAGTTTCTCCATTGGTAAAATGGGGATAATTGTATTTAGCTTACAGAGCCATTGTGAGATTAACTGCTTAGACACATGCCTGTTTAACAGTAAGTGCTAAATAAATGTTAGCTCTCATATTTCCCCTTTCTCCTGTTCCCAAAACTGCCTCTTTCCTGTGTTCCTCATGTCACCATCCACCCAAGCACAAATCCAGAAAACCCAGTCTCATTCTATTAATAACCCCGTCCAGCTCACTCTCTGTTACCAACCCCCGGGCCCCAATCAGTCTCCAGTCTTCTAAAGTCTATGTATTAATATCTCTTGCCATCCTTTATTCACTGGCTCTGTCTTAGCTCAGGCCCCAGGCTTTTCTTGCTGGATTATGTGATATGATATTATCCTCTGGGTTCCTCCCTGTCCTCCTTCAACCCGTCTTCCACAGTGCTTCTAGAGTAATCTTTCTAAGCTAAGGATCCAATCATGTCATTCTCTTCTTAAATCCATCAGCAGTTTCCACTCAATATAACTTCTGTTTTTCCCTCAAAACTCAGTGAAACTCAATAGCCAAACTGTGGAAATAAGCTAAGTATCCACTGATGGATAAATGGATAAAGGAGATGTGGTGTGTGTGTGTGTGTGTGTGTGTGTGTGTGTGGTGTGTGTGCACAATGGGATAATATTCCAACTTAAAAAAAGAAGGAAATTCTGTCATTTGTGACCACAGGGATAAAACAAAAGATATACTAAGTGAAATAAAACACAGAAAGACAAATACTGCACTATTGCTGCAACATCTTAAAAAGTCAAACTCATAGGAACAGAGAGTTGAACAAT
The DNA here is from genome assembly GCF_000001405.40 of Homo sapiens. Taxonomy (NCBI): domain Eukaryota; kingdom Metazoa; phylum Chordata; class Mammalia; order Primates; family Hominidae; genus Homo; species Homo sapiens. The sequence goes on from NC_000002.12 coordinate 19,599,631, forward strand.
GGTTACTGGGGGTTAAAGGGTGGGCAAAATGGGGAGATGTTGGTTAAAGGTTATAAACTTTTAGTTATAAGATGAATAAGTTCTGGATGCCTAATGTACAACATGGTGACTATAGCTAATAAGGTATTCTTTACTTAAAATTTGCTAAGAAACTAGATCTTAAGTATTCTCACCATACAGACACACACACACAAATGGTAGCTATATGAGATGAGAGACATGTTAATTAGCTTGATTGTGGAGATCATTTCACAATATGTGTGTGTGTGTGTGTGTATATATATATATATATATATATCTCAAAGTATTATGCTGTATACCCTGAATATGCAGTGTAAGACTTTTATTTGTCAATTATACCTCAATAAAGCTGAAAAAAACTTACTGAAACTATTTTCACTGCCCCCAAGCTGATTCACACACTCTGTTCTTGATAATACCCAGCACACAGCTGTATTATAGCTCTTGAGACACTATTCTCTGTCTTTCTCACTAAGTTATCAGCTCCCTAACAACAGCACCATCTTTTACTTGAATTCTCTAATGCTCATAGATGTTTGCTGGATGGACAGAATGATGGATGGATGGCAAAACATTGCTGGATGGACAGAATGACGGATGGATGGCAAAACAGAAGAGACTCCTCAAAACACTTGTCAGACCAACGAGGAAGGGATCAAAGCCAAGATTTTCCAGCAGCCAAAATAATAAAGATCATGGAGCCTATAGGAAAAAAATTGCTTTGCTAGAATCATCTCCCATATGGGGGCATGTGAACATTGAGGAAAAACTCTCAGGGTTGGTTTCAAATAGGAGACCTTGGCAAAAACGATTTCAACAAATAACACAAATGGAAGCAAAACTGGGGAAGAGACCCAAACTATTGTTATTAATTACTCTGTCACTTTAATTCATTATATTCTAGCACAAGCCAAGCTAATTAGATCTTATTTTGCAAACAAAATTTTCATGGCCTGCTACATAAAATTCTTCTCTAATAGGTAGCATCTGCTGCATTTATTTCATCCATTAATTTTGCAACCTTCTCCAAAACAAACATTAGGCTCATGTGATGTGATTCAGACAGTAGAAATGAGCTATGCAGCCAGGGGGTGCACATGCAATCTTGGTCCCCAAGTCAGCCACCCTTCCTGGATGTACCTTCCCAAAGAGTCTATCTGGATGGGTGCTGGCCAGCTAGCCCAGTCCCCTGTAGGCTGTGCCCACAGAGAAGAGAGAAGCCCAGTTATCCTCCAAGAGAGCCTGCATTCAGAACTCATCCATGTCCTGCAATCTGAGATGAATTCTGGTGTTAGGTGTGAGGGCTTTAAATACAACAAAAGCCTAGAGAGGGGAGAGGAACCTACGGGCTGTTCTAATCAGAGGAAACTTCATGGATCAGAAAAAACTGGAATAGGGCCTTGGAATATGATTGTATCAGAACAGAAAGGAGACTCTTCCAGTGTGGACCTACAGTAAAATCAAGGGACAATGCACTGTGCCTTCCTCCCATCAGAGGGCAAAGAAGTAGGTACAAATTTGCAAGGTAAATAATGTGGCAAGAACTCTCTGAGTACACTTGGCATGCCCAGCTCTGTGCTGATCAAGAGATTCAAAGAAGCAGACAGCATGGTCTGTGGCCTTGGCAAAGAGATGACTTTCATATATAAAGTAAAAATGCCAAACGGATCAAACTCCCATAAGGGCCTTACCATGGGTCTCACCCAGCCTTGTCTCCTCCCAGGTTTCCAGCAGACTCTGCTGGAAAGCACAGAAGCTTTGGCTTTGCATCTGCTCAACCCATCTCCAGCCTTGATCTTTCTCATGATGAATGTGGATGGCTGATGCCCCCTTGGGGGCCTGCCAGCCCTCGTTTCTTCTCCCAGTGACCAGTGTTTTCCTTGGTGAAAGACCTTGAGAAGGTGGATGAATGAGGCGAGCATGTGCTCTGCCTCTGTGGAACTCACATCCCAGTGTTCGCTCATGAGCTAGAAATCAGCAATGCAGCAGGCACCAGAAGGACTACTCTCCTAATCCAATCTATGCTTTGGAGCCTACTCCCACTCCATTGCATGTACTGGGAATCATTTTCTTCTATATCTGCACACACACACACGTACACACACACACACACACATACCTGGAAACCTCTCTTCATCCTTTGATCTGTTTGTCTGTCTTATCCACTTAAATGAAAACTCTATGAAAGCAGGAACAACATTGGTTGTGTTTACCATTATACAATCAGGTCCTAGAAGAGTATTGAATACATATCAATACATATCTATAAATGAATGAATGGAGACATAAGAGTATATCTTCTGGCCTGAAGGCAGAAAAGTGTGTGAAATATGAAATAACTGTCAGAAGGCCCCTGTGAATGGAGTAGAGGAAAAAGCCCCATAAAAGGCAGGACAATTTTCTCACCACCAACACTGTACCTCTGTTCACAGCTGAAGCCGGTATGGCCAATTGCCCCTTTTACTTTTTTCCAGGTCTATTGAGGTATAATTGACAAAAACTGTATATATTTAAGATGTACAACATGATGTGATATACACATATATTGTAAAATAACTGTCCTAATCAAGCTGATTAACGTATCTATCACCTCACAGAGTTACCATTTTGTGTGCGTGTGTGGTAAGAACACTTAAGATCTGCTCTTTTAAAATGCAAATCAAAGCCACAATGAGATATCATCACATACTAGTAAGAATGGCTATGATTAAAAAGTCAAAAAATAACAGATGCTGGTAAGGTTTCAGAGGAAAAGGAACATTTATACACTGCTGGTGGGAATATAAATTAGTTCAGCCATTGTGGAAAGCAGTGTGGTGATTTCTCAAAGGACTTAAAACAGAATTACCATTCAACCCAGCAATCTCATTACTGGGTATACACCAAAATGAATATAAATTATTCTACCATAGGGATGAGTGCGGTGGCTCGTGCCTGTAATCCCAGCACTTTGGGAGGCCAAAGCCGGTGGATTACCTGAGGCCAGGAGTCCAAGATAGCCTGGCCAACATGGCAAAACCCTATCTCTACTAAAAATACAAAAACATTAGCTGGGCATGGTGGCGTGTGCCTATAGTCCCAGCTACTTGGGAGGCTGAGGCAGGAGGATCAGTTGAACCCAGGAGGCAGAGGTTGCAGTGAGCCAAGACTGCACCACTGCACTCTAGCCTGGGCAACAGATTAAGACTCCGTCTCAAAAAAAAAATACATTCTACCATAAAGACACATGCATGAATATGTTCATTGCAGCACTATTCACAGTAGCAAAGACATAGAATCAACCTAAATGCCCATTAATGATAGATTGGATAAAGAAAATGTAGTACATATACACCATAGAATACTATACAGCCATAAAAAGGAATGAGATCATGTCCTTTGCAGGGATATGGATGGAGCTAGACACCATTATCTTAAGTGAACTAACACAGGACAGAGAACCAAATACCACATGTTCTCATTTATAAGTGGGAACCAAACATTGAGAACATGTGAACCCAAAGAAAGGAACAAGAAAGGCCAGGTGCAATGGCTCATGCCTGTAATCCCAGCATTTTGGGAGGCTGAGGCGGGTGGATCACAAGGTCAGGAGTTCAAGATCAGTCTGGCCAACATAGTGAAACCCCATCTCTACTAAAAATACAAAAAATTAGCCGGGTGTGGTGGCGGGCACCTGCAGTCTCAGCTAGTTGGGAGGCTGAGGCAGGAGAATGGCGTGAACCCAGGAGGCAGAGCTTGCAGTGAGCCGATATTGCACCACTGCACTCCAGCCTGGGTGACAGAGTGAGACTCCATCTCAAAAAAAATTAAAAAGAAAGGAAGGAAGGAAGGAGGGAGGGAGGGAGGGAGGGAGGGAAGGAAGGAAGGAAGGGAGGAAGGAAGGAAGGAAGGAGGGAAGGAAGGAGGGAGGGAGGGAGGAAAGGAAGGAAGGAAGGAGGGAGGGAGGGAGGGAGGGAGGGAGGGAGAGAGGGAGGGAGGGAGGGAAGGAAGGAAGGAAGGAAGGAACAAGAGACACCAGGGCCTACTTGAGGGTGGAAGGTGGGAGGAGTGAGAGGATAGAGAAACTACCTATTGGGTACTATGTTTATTACTTGTGGGATGAAATAATCTGTACAACAAACCCCTATGACAAGCAATTTACCTGTATAACAAACCTGCACATGTACCCCTGAACCTAAAATAAAAGTTTATAAAACAGATCTGTTCTTTTTGCAAATTTCAAGTAAAAAAAAATAGAGTATTATTAACTATACACAGCATGATGTACATTAGATCCCCAGAATTCATTTAGTTTAGAACTGAAAGTTTGTGCCCTTTGACCAGCATCTCATCCTGCTCCCCAGCCCCAGTAACCACCATTCTACTGTCTGCTTCTAAGAGTTTGGCTTTTTTAGGTTCCTCATATAAGTGAGATTGTGCAGTATTTGTCTTCCTGTGTTTGGCTTATTTCACTTAACATAATGTCCTCCAGGTTCATCCATATTGTTACTAAAGGCAGGATTGTTTTCTTTTTTATGGCTGAAAAATATACCATTGCATATATACCACATTTTCTTTATTCATTCATCTGTTGACAAACACTTACGTCATTTCCATATTTTGGGACTTGTTAATGCTGCAATTAAACACGGGAGTGCAGATATCTCTTTGAGATACTGATCTCATTTCCTTTGGATATACAGCCAGAAGTAAGATTGCCTAATCATAAGGTAGTTCTATTGCTAATTTTTTTAGAAACCTTCATACTGTTTTCCATAACGGTTGTAGTCTTTCCCTTTTAAAAAAGCGAAAACTTTTTTTTATTTCCAACTTTTACTTTAAGTTCAGGGATACATGTGCAGGATGTGCAGGTGTGTTACATAGTTAAATGCGTGCCATGGTGATTAGCTGCACAGATCACCCCATCACCTAGGTATTAAGCCCAGCATCCATTAGCTATTCTTTCTGATACTCTCCCTCTTTCCAGCTCCCACCCTTCGACTGGCCCCAGTATGTGTTGTTCCCTCCATGTGTCCATGCATTCTCATCATTCATCTCCCACTTATAAGGGAAAATGTGCTGTGTTTGATTTTCTGTTCCTGTGTTAGTTTACTGAGGATAATAGCTTCCAGCTCTATCCATGTCCCTGTAAAGGACATGATCTCATTCCTTTTTATGGCTGCATAGTATTCCACGGTGTATGTGAACCACATTTTCTTTATGCAGTCTATCATTGATGGGCATTTAGGTTGATTCCATGTCTTTGCTATTGTGAATAGTGCTGCAGTGAACATACATGTGCATGTGTCTTTACGGTAGAATGATTTATATTCTTTTAGGTATATACCACATAATAGGATTGCTGGGTCAAACAGTAGTTCTGCCTCTATGTCTTTGAAGAGTCACTACACTGTCTTCCACAATGGTTGAACTAATTAACACTCCCTCCAACAGTGTGAAAGCATTCCTTTTTCTCCACCACCTTGCCAGCATCTGTTGTTTTTTGACTGTTTAATAATAGCCATGCTGACTGGTCTGAGATGATATCTCATAGTGGTTTCGATTTGCATTTCTCTAATGATCAGTGATGCTGAGCTTTTTTTCATATGTTTGTTGGTCACACGTATGTCTGCTTTTCAGTAGTGTCTGTTTGTGTCCTTTGCCCACTTTTTAATGGAGTTTTTTTTTTCTTGTAAATTTGTTTAAGTTCCTTATAGATCCTGGATATTATACCTTTGTCAGACAGAGAGATTACAAAAAATTTGTTCCATTCTGTAGGTTGTCTGTTTACTCTGATGATGGTTTCTTTTGCTGTGCAGAAGCTCTTTAGTTTAATTAGATCCTATTTGTCAATTTTTGCTTTTGTTACAATTGCTTTTATCATCTTCGTCATGAAATCTTTACCCGTGCTTATGTCCTGAATGGTATTACCCAAGCAGAAAAAATTTTAAGCTTTAGAAAGAAGAGAGAGAGAAAAAAAAACAGAGAGAGAAACATGTGAGGGGCGTTTTTTTTTTTTCTGCTAGAACTTAAATCCATTTATACCATCTGTCAAAGTCTTCTCATTCAATTGAAAACAAAAACACTATGTCTATTAGAGTATTGGAGGTAAATGAACACTCAATATGTTAGGAACACTTAACAACAAGAGAGCCAGAGAGTGACTAGGTGAAGATCCTAGAATCCATGTCATATGACGGGTAAGTGGAGGAAAAGCATGACTTACCTGGAAAGAGAAAACTTAAAGGATACTTGACACCTGCTATTAAATGTCTAGCAGGTTGTCACATATAGGGGGAAGTAGACGTATTAGTTGTGGTTTGAATGTTGTGGTCTGAAAGAATTAGAACCAATGAGTGAGAAATACAAGATATAGGTTATTAATCCAACCTTGATCAGATTAATTAGTAAGCAAGAAGCTAACTCATTAGTTGTACTAAAATATTTATCCTAGTATTCATTCAGACAACCTGTACAGATTTTTAATACAGAAATCCCTATTTCACTCATAATTCACTGCACTATTGCAGAATGATAAAAACTTACCAATGTAATAACAATTCTTTATATTAATTGCCTATATTCATGCCTGTAATAAACATGTTCAATCTGTGTAATTTGTTTTCCTGTGCTGTTTGTTTTGCTAACATTTATTGAAACATAATTTTATGTCTGTAAATCTAATGATAAAAATCTACTTTGTGTTTGTATTTTATGTGCTTATTTAGTTCTTCTAGTGATTTATCTTTATTGTATTTTACAAAAATATTGGTTTGCTTTAGATTAGAAATTTTAAAAACTGATTCTTAACCACAGAAAGAGAAGCACTGACTGGTGTTGATGCTCAATTAGAGCTGAAGGACCTGCTGCTGTGGAGGCTGAAATGGGAAAAGCTGCTTCGAAGGTGGTTGACACCGAATTGTATCATCCCCCAGTGCAGTGTCGACACAGTAGGCTCTTAATTGCATAAAATAAATATATAAACATTATATAAATTATACAAAATTGTAAATACCAAACCTATAAATGGTATAACTTGCAAATTGATTTTTTAAAATCTCTACGTAGTCCAAAGGAGGCAAGACAGGTGGCTGGAGGCTTAACCCATGTTAGATGATGAGTACGGCTTGATGGAAATAGAACTTCCTAGCCTTGAAAAGTGAAGACATCAAGAATACTTCCTCGCTGTCTTCAAAAGATCTTAAGGGTGTTATGGCAGAGGTTAAGGGAATTGTAAGAAGTATGCTAAGAAAATCCACGAAGTAAAACTATGACTAATGGATGGAAGGTGCAGAAAGGCAGATACTGATTCAACAAAGAATCTCTCGACAATTCCAGTTTTAGAGAAATGAAGAGAGCTGCCTCATGTGGTAGTGAGTTCACTGTTCTTGTAGTTCTTGTAGTTCACTAAAAGACTGAGGGAGTTTGGGAGCTGAAAAAAGGTTTCCTGCACAAAGTGGAACACTCTGCATTTTATAGCATTCTTACAAATTTTTCAAGGGAGTGTACTAGGGCTTTCATTATCTAGTATTTTATATTAAACTCATAGAAAATCTGGGAGGTAAGTATCACTATCCGCACTTTAGAAATGAGAAATCAGAAGCTTGGAGTGGTTAAAAATGGTCACAGACAGACAGAAGTGGTGGGTATGGGGTTTCGCCCCTGGGGTGGCTGATGCCATGCTCTAACGGAACATAATACTGTCAGCAACTCTGAAAGCCAATGACTCTGTGTACTCAAAACCCTGAAATGTGATCAGAAACCTAAAAAAAAGAAGTTCCAAGACGAATAATTTTTATTTCATTAGATGTCTTTTGGAGTTTGAGGCTCTTAATTCTCTGAAGACTTCCAGAAGGTGCAAGAGCCTCCCCTCTTCCTACCACGTGCTTCTCTTCCATAACCTTCGTCCTTCCCCTCTCCAACTATCCAGAAGTCTCACAATGACTCGGAGAGAAAGGATGTCATTGGTATGCGCAGACATTCTGGCTTTACCTCTTTCCCAGGATACTGTACTTTAAGAGATGTAGCTCTAGGCAGTAACATTTTGTCCAAAGGAATTAACTGCAATGGTGGAATGTCTGGTATAGTGAAAAAGATTCTTGCATATAGGAGACCTTCTAAGCACCCCCAACCACACAGTAGAGGACACCACTGAGCCTCCCTGTGGCAAAGCCAGTCCTTCTCTTAAGTTATATCAACACAAGCACCCTTCAGCAGTTAAGTTTCCTGGAACATCCAAAGATTCATTGACTTATGCTTTGGAGGAAGATTTACAAGTCCTCTTTTGTAAAGAGAAGTTCGCTATGTGACTTGAGTGAGACAGAACATCACTTGCTTTGATCCTTGCAGAAACAGGATGAGAGGTCCCAAGATTCTGACTCACTATCCATTGCCCTGACCCTGAGCAACCCAGCCTCGTCCTGGTCTTAAAGTGTATTGGCACTTTGCTGTCTGTTCTCCTTCCATTGCTTTTGATTTTGCATACCCTGAGTCATCTCTGAAGATTCCATGCAACCAGCTGGGTGGCTGGCATCCAGCTCTGTGACACTTGCCTTGATTGATGTGCATCCTCTTAAGCATCTGCTCACGACAACTGTCTCTACCCTGAAGATGACCAGAAGGGACTCCTCATCTTGCTTTACCTGTCTTCAGCACTTAGCCATTAGGCTGTTACCAGCAAAGCTGTCCTTTTCTCATAACAGATCGGCCTGATTGTGTAACTGTATCCCTTTACTTCTGACAGCATTTTCAGCTTTGTGTAACCTCCAAACATATGAATAATTTTCACTTGTGCATTGCAATGAGCTTGGGGAACATTCAGAGTTCAGAGGTACAGCTAGAAATATGTCCAGAAGGATGAGTCAAATAATGTTGGGGGTGACTGGGAAAGAGAAGAAAGGGTCCTGCCATGCCTCTCCTGTGAGCCAACAGTCTGATGCGCACTTCAGGGTCACTGTTTCCAGTGTGCAAGTCCTTGGCTGTTGGAATGAAATGTCTGCCTCTTTGTTCTGCCTCCCACTTTCTCCTCCTTCTCTTCTTCCTACTTCCCTCTCCTCCAATTCACCCCATGAAAATATTGCATAATGTTCACAGATAACCCACTAAGCCTAGCTTAGTCTATTAGGAGATTCCCTTTCTGTAAGCTTTCAGAATCCCATACATTTGCCAGCAGTGTGATTGCTTTCTAAGTCAACATGACTGTCCCCTTCCCCAAAGGAACCCTTCACTTTTCTTTCTTAAATTCCACTGTGTGTCTCCCACAAACAGGTTTTTTAGTAGAATCTCATGAAGATAAGAATGCCTTTAAAGAATGCAAGATTTCTAAAAATATTCAACAAAAATATTCCCAATACACCTCTCATAACAATTCCATCCCAGAGTGTGGTCCAAAATAAATTGAGGATTTGTCTGTACAACAGCTTCAAGATGTTCAGAAGGTGTCAAAAATGGCAAGGATCTGACACTCATCGAAGTGTTCAGTTAACCATACCCACAACCTCCAGGGCTTTAAAAACATATAAATTGCAAAGATTGAGGTGAACAGTTTGATCAACTTTGAATCCAAAGGTGCTGATGACAGACAGGAATAGGAGCACTTCCCAGACACAATTATGTTCAGGCAGCTTGAAGTAAAAGTAGCCAGCCTTGGTGTAGTGCTTTGCAAAGAGTGGTGATTTGCATCATCCAAGTGCTTTGCAGAGCTTTAGCAAAAGTATTCTGAGTGTGAACAAACAGTAGAGACTGTGCTTGGAACAAGCTGGACAGAGTTCACCTTCCCGTGGGGAGCAGGGAATGTTGGCTTTAGGACCAGACCTGCTCTCTGCTTCTGGCGCCATGGCAGCACGCTTGCACGAGGCCTTTGCTCCCCTAGCATTGGAAGCCACTCCAGCCTTGAGTGCCAGCTCGGCCACCTGAATGGAAGACAAGAGCTCTTTGGCAGCCAAGATGCCCCAAGTTCTTCCCATTTTTATTCCACTCATTCTCTTTCCTCTTCCCCTCCCATGTCTCTGGCTACTCGTTCCCAGGCCCATCCCTGGACTTCTCCTCTTCTGCCCAGCCTTTACCTGTTTGTGTTTTCCAACCTTCTCTTTGGCCCACTGCTTTCCTCACTCATTCTACCCTTGCTAGACATGCTAATTCCTTCTCTTGGCTTTAACCCCTATACTGAGGGCTTCCAAATCCACAGCCCCAGGTGAAAGCTCTCTCTGCTCACTTCTTCAGTGTTCTAGGACCCATTCTACCCCACACATCCTGATTTCCTTTTGCTGTGTCCCTTCTGTTGGAATACCCCACCATTTCTTCAATCTCTGCCCCTGAAACTTTGCCTGATTAGGAAGACAACAGGATGAGGTGAAAGCACATGGAACTTGAAGCCCTGTAGGGTTCAAGTTCTCACTCTGTGTATCTGGATCACCTACAGGTCTGTGTGTCTGGATCACCGATCTCTACCTCAGTTTCTTCATCTGGACAATGACACTAAAGCTGCAGGGCTGTCAGGAGGATTAAGTAAGGTAATGCAGGTGAAAGGTTCTGCACAGAGCTTCACTCATAATCAGCCCTAAATATGTGGTGCTGACATAATGGTATTAATAACAATAGCAGCATCAGCAGCAGCAGCAATGGTGAGAACAGATAATAACTGAAGACTGCCTGCCCGTCTGATAGCATACTCCACTTCCCCAGCTCCAGTGGGACATAAACTGCCAGCCCCACCTGTGACCACTGCTTCCTCCTGTTCTTGCCCCACCCTGGTCCCTCCTTACCTCATCTGTGCTCTAAGTAGAGTGAATCTTTTTACCTACCCCCAAAAGAACCCCAATATGACACAGAATATTCCATTAATAGTCAAAAACATTAGACGCTTAATAGGCAACAAACCTATTTTTCCACTGACTTCTCTAAATGCTCACTTCTGAAACTACCTCCACTCTCAGCTGCTTGGGTAGATGATAACAGCTACCCTGGCCCAAGGGCTGTGGGGATAGCTGGTAAAGGAAGGGGCTACAGTGGGGCTCAAAAAGGAAATCAAGACACAGCAGAACTGAAAAGAGTAGAGATGCTCCAGTAAGCTGGACAATGTGTCCTTGACTGTGGAGCCAGGAGCTCTGAAATGAATTTGGTTATCTACCTGATAGCAACCTCAGAGGGTAAGGATGTCCTTCGAGTCCCTTAATTCCCTTAGAAACACAATGAAGGCCAGGCTCAGTGGCGCACGCCTGTAATCCCAGCACTTTGGGAGGCCAAGGAGGGTGGATCATCTGAGGTCAGGAGTTCGAGACCAGGCTGGCCAACATGGCGAAACCCCATCTCTATTAAAAATATAAAATTAGCCGGGATGTGGCACGTGCCAGTAATCCCAGCTACTCAAGAGGCTAAGGCAGGACAATCGCTTGAAGCTGGGAAGCGGAGGTTGCAAGGAGCCAAGATCACATCACAGTACTCCAGCCTGGGCAACAGAGTGAGACTCTGTCTCAAAAAAAACAAAACAAGACAAAACAAAACAAAAAACAACCAATAGAGACCTTTAGATTTTGGGTTTCTATGTTCTCAGTTTGAAGGTATTTTCATTTCTTAGTTTTTAAACTTATTGGATGAAATAACTATAGTTTTCTTAACTTTTTATCAAACTATCTTTCTCAGCTTCAGCTAATGTCCACCTTCATTCCAGAATTCCATGATTTGGTGAACAAGACATGTTAATACCATCTATACCCTTCACACCTTCACAGAGACCAGTGACACTCTCTGTTACTCTTTGTTTTTACAATCAGAAGAGCCCCTACCCCCAAGAAAGCACTATAGTTCTAATGTAAATGGAGCTTAGCACAGCATCAGAAAACTGGAGCTCATCAACTCCGCAATATGGTACCTGACTCTGAAGACATCTCCACAAACAGTGCTCCCAGCCTTTTTCTCCTCTTGGTGCACATAGAAAATGATACCTTTTTCATGGCTTTCCAGGGTAAATTGAAGGAGCTGCTCACAGCTGGAGGTAACTAGGCCACAACTCTGGAGAGCCCCAGAACCTGCCCGGCTGCCCCAAGAATTAAGAGGATCAGTATCTCAGACACACCTGTAATCCATTTGTAGCAACTTGGCATGCCCTGGCACCCCGTTGAGAAGCTCTACCCAAAAGGTTGTCGTATTGCCTGAGAGACCAATAGAATGCTTATTCCATTAAATAAGACCTTCTCTTCAGAAAGCCCAAGTCTATTTTTCACCTCCGTGTTAGCTTCCCTGAAATATGTTTCCCATTCACTAGTTAGTGCTTTGTCATGCTCAGCAAGGAGGATGATCTGGTGGCCACAGTAAAGAAAGAATCAGGAGCCATGTGGATTCTAAATTTATGATTCAGCAGCCATGGCTTCTGACTCACTCACATTAGATGACCTGTGGAGAAAACCACTGGACTTTGGACAGGCCCTGATGAGATGAGCTGGAAAATAATATCACAATGGGTTTCTACTGGCAACCAAACACTATGTGAAAGTTGAGACTTCCTGAGCAGATAAATTAAAAGCAAGCTGTACAGGAGCATCATGACAAAAGCCATATGTTGAACTTCAGCAGATGCAGGACAGAAAACCACAGAGCCTATCATGTCACACAGCATCACCTCTTGTACACCTATAAACTGCTGAGCTGTGTCAACAAAGTCACCTGGTCACTGTCCTTTCTGTGTGTCACAAGTATACTAAGTTGTAAAATCTGTGGACTCGGAAGCCAGGTAGGCCTGAGGTAGAATCCCGGCTTGAATACATCTGAGCTATGTAATGTTGGGCATGGCACTCAGCTTCTTGAGGTGTCAGCTGTGTTCTCTATAAAATGGGGATAAATGTGTGCTCATAATTTTCTCCATAAATACCAAAAAAAATTGACAGCAATTCAGCAATGATTTTTTTTTGACATAGTCTCGCTCTGTCACCCAGGCTGAAGTGCAGTGGCACGATCTCGGCTTACTGCAACCTCCGCCTCCCGGGTTCAAGCAATTCTCCCTGCCTCAGCCTCCCGAGTAGCTGGGATTACAGGCACCTGCCACCACATCTGGCTAATTTTTATATTTTTAGTAGAGATGGGGTGGCCGGGCTGGTAATTTTGTATTTTTAGTTTTTGCCATGTTGGCCAGCCTGATCTCAAACCCCTGACCTCAGGTGATCTGCCCACCTTGGCCTCCCAAAGTGCTGGGATTATAGGTATGAGCCACCACGCCTGGCCTCAGCAATGATTCTTGACTTTAGGAAATAACCAAGACAAAAGAAAAATAGGCTACTTCTTTAAAAGAAGTTCAATGGATACACATGAGAGGCTGTCCCTCAGAAGCCAAGAGAAAAACAGGGATGTCCCCCCATCACCAACCATAGTTTCACACAATATCAAAAGTATTAGCAGAAGAAATAATAATAATAAAGGTCTACAAATTGGAGGGGAACAGTTCCACTTTCAAATGAGCATGGAATAGAGGTGCTTTTCTTGTAAAATGTTTCTCACTCCTGCTGGAAGGTTTTCCCTGTGCCTCCTGCTAAAAGTCCTGGGCGGTATACACAGCAAAAACATAAGAAGCCTGAAATGTAGAGAGAAAGATTCAGACTGACTAGGAGCCTCAGGACCCAGGTAATAACATGATAGAGAGTTCCCTTGGTTTTTTTCTTGCCTAATCTATCCCAGATCGGGCGCTGGAGAAGCCAGCAATCCAAAAACACCAACCAAAACAAACAAATAAGCAAAATAAAATTCCAACTAGTGCCAGTTCTCTCTAGATAAAGGAACAGGAAGGGACAACCTGGCAAGACAGAGAAGTTTAGACATTGACCTCTCTGCCCTAGAGAAACACCATGGGATAAAAATGGCCATACCTCCAACCTCATCAGCAAAGACTGAGTGGGAAGCCTGGACTTTTACCTTCTTCACCTGGCTGTAACATGGAACCTGACCCACCCACCACAAAACCTCTCTACCACTGGTGTGGTGTCAGACAACAAGTGAGAAGCCAGGATTTTCAAGTGAAAAATAAACTTGGGACTTTCTGAAGAGAAGATCTTATTTAATGGAATAAGCATTCTGTTGGTTTCTCCTGGTCTCTCAAAGTCCAGTGGTTTTCCACAGGTCATGCCTGGCTGCAATGAGCCCTCTCCCCATGGAGTCAGTAGAAACTAGGTAGGAATTCTGAACTTCTACCCCCAACAAATGGTAATGAGCTGCACTTTCTCCACCATGCCTGTATCAGGAGGCCTAATGGAGAGGCAGGACCTTCTCACCATCCAGTGGTAAAAAGGATGCCCCATGTATGTGATGTCAGTAGAAGCCACATGGAGAGCAGTAAGAAGGCACCCCTCCTATACCAACTAGGGTAATATAAATGAAAACCTAGGAGGGAACCTAAATTTCCACTCCTACCTAAGGAGTAGATGCCCTTGCCTCATCCCTCCCCACCCACCTCCCTGCTACTTAGGTCAAGTGGGGAACTAGGACCCACCTGGCAATAATGAGGCAGGACACTCATTTCCCTTCCAGAGTGATATCAGGTGAGGCTTGTTAAAGCAGACTTAAATAAGATCCAGGGCCTTATAACATAATACCAAAAACGTTCAGGATACCACAAAAAAAAAAATCACTCATACCAAAACCAGAAAAATTTCAACTTGAGTAAGAAAAGAGAATCAACAGATGCCAAACCCAGGATGACACAGATGTTAGAATTATCTGAAAAGAATTTTAAGTAGCTATCATAAAATTACCTCAGTGAGTAATTATGAACATGCTTGTAATAAATGAAAAATATATTTTGGAACTGATGAATACAATAACCAAAATAAAAACTTAATGGATGTACTCGGCAGCAGAATGGTAAGAACAGAGGGAAGAATCATTGAACTTAGAACAACAGAAATTACTCACTCTGAACAGAGAGTAATAGACTTAAAAACTTAATACAACCTCAGAGTTCTGTGGACAATATCAAAAGATAGAACATTTGCATTATTAGACTGACAGAAAAAAAGGGAAAAGATAGTGGGGTAAAAATATCCCCAAATAAATAATTCTGACTTTTAAAAAAATTTATCCAAAAACATAAACCTCCGGATACAAGATTCTGGGAGAACTTCAAACAAGATAAACCAAAAGAAATCCACACCAAGACACATAATTAAACTTCTGAAAATTAAAGACCAAGAAGATATCTTGAAAGCAGTGGGAGAAAATCAACAATCAAGAGAAAATCAAGAGAATGTGTTAGTCTGTTTTGCATTGCTTTAAAGAAATACCTGAGACTGGGTAGTTAATAAAGAGAACAGGTTTATTTGGCTTATGGTTATACAGGCTGTACAAGAAGCATGGTGCCAGCATCTGCTTCTAGTGAGAACCCCAGGAAGCTTTTACTCATGGTGGACAATGAAGGTGGAGCAAGTGCATCACATGGCAAGAGAGGAAGCAAGACAGAGAGGGGGAAGATGCCAAGCTCTTTTAACAATCAGATTATCGGGGGAACCAGCCCCCAATATTTCAAAGTCGGTTCTTTTTATTTTCCCTAAGTGTCAGCTGGTCAGAGAAATAAAGAGAAAAGGGTACAAAGAGAAGAATTTTACAGCTGGGCAGCCATGGGTAACATCACATATTGGTAGGTCCGTGATGCCCACCTGAACCACAAAACCAACAGGTTTTTATTAAGGACTTCAAAAGGGGAGGGGGTGTATGAACAGGGAGTAGGTCACAAAGATCACATGCTTCTGAGGCCAATAAAGATCATAAGGCAAAGGGCAAAGCAAAGATCACAAGGCAAAGGGTGAAATTAGAATTACTGATGAGGGTCTATGTTCAGCTGTGCATGTATTGTCTTGATAAACATCGTAAACAACAGAAAACAGGGTTCGAGAGCAGAGAACTGGTCTGACCTCAAATTCACCAGGGTGGGGTTTTTCCCCACCCTAGTGAGCCTGAGGGTACTGCAGGAGACCAGTGCATATTTCAGTCCTTATCTCAACCGCATAAGACAGACACTCCCAGAGTGGCCATTTATAGACCTCCCCCAAGGAATGCAATTCTTTTCCTAGGGTCTTTATATTATATTCCTTGCTAGGAAAAGAATTTAGTGATATCTCTCCTACTTGCACGTCCGTTTATAGGCTCTCTGCAGGAAGAAAAATATGGCTGTATTCTGCCCAACCCCGCAGGGAGTCAGACCTTTGGTTGTCTTCCCTTGTTCCCTAAAATCACTATTATTCTGTTTGATTTCAAGGTGCACTGATTTCACATTGTTCAAACACCCATGTTTTACAATCAGATTTCATATTGTTCAAACACACATGTTCTACAATCAATTTGTACAACAGTGGTCCTGAGGTGACGTACATTCTCAGCTTATGAAGATAATAGGATTAAGAGATTAAAGTAAAGACAAGCATAAGAAATTATAAGAGTATTATTTGGGAACTGATAAATGTCCATGAAATCTTCACAATTTATGTTCAGAGATTGCAGTAAAGACAGGCGTAAGAAATTATAAAAGTATTAATTTTGGGAACTGATATACATCCATATTAAAATGAAATCTTCACAATTTATGTTCCTCTGCCGTGGCTCCAGCTGGTCCCTCCATTCTGGGTCCCTGACTTCCTGCAACATCAGATCTTGCATGAACTAATAGAGTGGGAACTCACTCATTACCACAGGGAGGGTGTCAAGCCATTCATGGAAAGATCCACCCCCATGATCCAAACATCTCCCAACAGGTCCCACCTCCAACATTGGGGATGACATTTCAACATGAGATTTGGAGAGGACAAATTATATCAGAGACCTTCCCTAAACAGAAAGGATATGATAAAAGAAGGAACTTTGGAACATCAGAAAGGAAGGAAGGACAATGGAAAGAGAAAAAATATGGGTAAATATTATAGATATCATAGACTTCACTTTTTCTTTTCCTGTTGAGACAATTTTATGTGTAGAAGGGTGAAGAAACTTAAAGAGGCTGGGTGTAATGATTACACCTGTAATCTCAGCACTTTGGGAGGCCAAGGCAGGCAGACCACTTGAGCCCAAGTGAAACCCTGTCTCTACCAAAAATACAAAAATTAGCCAGACTTGGTGGCATATGCTTGTAGTCTCGGCTACTCAGGAAGCTGAAATGGAAAGATTGCTTGAGCCCAGGAGGTGGGGGTTGCCGTGAGCCAAGATTGTGTCACTGTACTCTAGCCTGGGTGACAGAGTGAGACTGTTAAAAAAAATAATAATAAAAGGAAGAAAGAAACTTCAAAGGAGGCATGGCATGGTGTCTACACTCAAACTGGTAAATAGTCATAAGTTATATATACACATACATATATATACACACACTTATGTATATATGTACATATATATATACACATACACATGTACATATATAAATGCCTATAGCTACTCCTAAAATTTTATTCAAAAAGATTCACTCAAATACACTATAAGTGAATCAAAATGGAATTCCACGGGGAAAGGCCACGGGGAGAAGAAAACTTCCAGATGAGCTTTGTAACAATTTTGACCAAATGTTAAGTGTCCTGGACAGAATCCAGGGGAGAAGGTGAACAGGGAGTGCAGATACAAGCACAAAAACTGCATCGGGGTAGGCCTAAAACCTGAAAGCCCTGCTTGCATTCTCAGCAGGGAGGCTTTTAGCCTGGAGCAAGTTCTCAGCTCTGCTCACCTCACCTGCTGCCTGGAAATAAGCTTGGTGCTGTTGGGGGAGCACTGTAGGAGTGACACTGGCCTTTTGGGTTGCATGGGAGCTGGGTGAGGCCTGTCACTGCCACCTTTCCCCCACTTCCCTGATGGCCTGTATGACTCAGAAAAGGCAGCCATAATCCCCCTTGTAACATAACTCCATCTGTCTGAGAACCACACCTTTATCCCCCACAGCAGCTGCAGCAAGCCCCACTTAAGAAGTGGCTGAACTCAGACACTCCTAACCCTTCCCACACCTCATGGTCTTTCTCCATGAACCTGGTAGCTGAAGACAAAGAACATAATCTCTTGGGAGATCTATGGCCCTGCTCACTGCCTGAGAAACTTATCCAGGCAACCCTAGGGCAACCCTGTATCCTCCCTATGCTAATGCAATCGATGCTGTCTTGAAAGCAACACCTCCTGGCTGGGGACCAATAAACACAAAACTAGCACACTAAACAAAACTATAACCAAGGACTCTCACAGTCTACTTCACTCCACTGCTACCTCCACCAGAGCAGGTGCTGGTATCCATGGCAGAGAGACCTGAAGACAGATCGCATTACACAACTCTTTGCCGACACTCCCCAGTACCATCCTAGAGACTGGTAGCCCCACAGGGTGGCTAGACCCAGAAGAGAAATAACAATCACTACAATTTGGCTCTTGGGAAGCCCTATCCCTAGGGGAAGGGGAAGAACACCACATCATGGGAGCACCCCATGGGACAAAAGATTCGAGCAATAGCCCTTGAGCCCCAGATCTTCCCTCTGACATAATATACCCAAATCTATCCAAATTAGAAGGAGCCAGAAAAACAATTCTGACAATATGACAAAACAAGGTTCTGTAACACCCCCAAAAGATCATACTAGCTCACCAGCAATGGATCCAAACCAAGAGGAAATCTCTGAATTGCCAGAAAAAAAAAATCAGAAGGTTAATTATTAAACTACTCAAGGAGGCACCAGAGAAAGGTGAACACAAACATAAAGAAATCAAAATATGTTACAGGATATGGATGGAAAAATCTCCACAGAAATAGACAGCATAAATAAAAAACAATCACAACTTCTGGAAATAAAGGACACACTTAGAGAAATGCAAAATACACTGGAATGTGTCAGCAATTGAATAGAACAAGTAGGAGAAAGAACTTCAGACCTCGAAGACAAGGCTTTCAAATTAACCCAATCCAACAAAGACAAAGAAAAAAGTATTGTAAAAACTGAGCAAAGTCTCCATGAAGTTTGGGATTATGTTAAACAACCAAACCTAAGAATAATTGGTGTTTCCGAGGAAGAAGAGAGATCTAAAGGCTTGGAAAACATATTTGAGGGAATAATCGAGGAAAACTTCCCTGGACTTGCTAGAGATTAAGACATTCAAATACAAGAAGCTCAAAGAACACCCAGGAAATTCACTGCAAAAAGATCATTGCCTAAGCATATAGTCCAAGTAATCTAAAGTTAAAACAAAGAAAAGAATTTTAAGAACTGTGAGGAAAAAGCATTGGGTAACCTATAAAGGAAAACCTACCAGATCAACAGATTTCTCAGCAGAAACCCTACAAGCTAGAAGGCATTGAGTTCCTATCTTTAGCCTCCTTAAAGGAAGCAATTATCAGCCAAGAATTTTGTATCCAGCAAAACTAAGCTTCGTAAGTGAAGGAAAGATACAGTCTTTCCAGACAAACAAATGCTGAGAGAATTCAACACTGCCACACCAGCACCACAAGAACCTCTAAAAAGGCTCTAAATCTTGAAGCAAATTCTTGAAATACCCCAAAATTGAACTTCCTTAAGGGATAAATCTCACAGGACCTATAAAACAATAACAATGAAAACAACAACAACAATGTATCCAGGCAACAACTAGCACAATGAATAGAATACTACCTACTTCTCAATACTAATGTTGAATGTAAATGTCCTAAATCTTCCACTTAAAAGATACAGAATGGCAGAATGGATAAGAATTCGCCCACCAAGTATCTGCTGTCTTCAATAGACTCACCTAACACATAAGAATTCACATAAGGTAAAGGTGTGCAAAAAGATATCCCATACAAACAGACACTAAAAACAAGCAGGAGTCGCTATTCTTATATTTGACAACGCAGACTTTAAAGCAACGAGTTTAAAAAGACAAAGAGGGACATTATATAATGATAAAAGGACTAGTCCAAAAGACAAATATCACAATCCTAAATATATTTGCACCTAACAATGGAGCCCCTAAATTTATAAAACAAGTACTACTAAACCTAAGAAATTAGACAGCAACACAATAATAGTGGGGGAATTCAATACTCCACTGACAGCACTAGACAGGTCATCAAGACAGAAAGTCAACAAAGAAACCATGGACTTAAACTATACCCTAGAACAAATGGACTTGACAGATATTTACAGAACATTCTTTCCAACAACTGCAGAATATATATTCTATTCATCTATTCATCAGCAAATGGAACATTCTCCAAGATAGACCATATGATAGGCCACAAAAGAAGTCTCAATAAATTTACGAAACTCGAAATTATATCAAGTACTCTCTGACCACAGTGGAATAAAATCGGAAATCAACTTCAAAAGGAACCCTCAAAACCCTGCAAAGGCATAGAAATTATATAACCTGCTCCTGAATGATCATTGGGTCAACAATGAAATCGATGGAAATTTTAAAAATTCTTTGAACTGAGCAATAATAGTGACACAATCTATCAAAACCTCTGAGATACAACAAAAGCAGGGCTAAGAAGAAAGTTCATAGCACTGGATGCCTACACCAAAAAGTCTGAAAGAGCACAAATAGATAATCTAAGATCACACCACAAGAAACTACAGAAACAAGAATAAAACAAACAAACAAAAACAATACAAAAGATAAATGAAACAAAAATCTGGTTCTTTGAAAAGATAAAATTGATAGACCATTAGCATAATTAACCAAGAAAAGAAGAGAGAAGATCCAAATAAGCTCAATTAGAAATGAAATGGAAGATATTACAACCAATACCACAGAAATACAAAAGGTCATTCAAAGTTACTGTGAGTAGCTTTATGTGCATAAACCAGAAAACCTAGAGGAGATGGGTAAATTCCTGGAGATATACAACCTTCCTAGATTAAACCAGGAAGAAATAGAAACTCTGAACAGACCAATAACAAGCAGCAAGATTGAAATAATAATTAAAAATTACCAACAAATAAAAGTCCAGGACCAGATGGATTCACAGCTAAATTCTATCAGACATTCAAAGAAGAATTGATATTAATCCTATTGACACTATTCCAAAAGAAAGAGAAAGAGAGAATTCTTCCTAAATCATTCTATGAAGCCAGTATCACCCTAATACCAAAACCAGGGAAGGACATAACAAAAAAACAACAACAAACAAAGAAAACTACAGACCAATATCCCTGATGAACATAGATGCAAAAAGTCTTAACAAAATACTAGCTAACTGAATTCAACAGTATATCAAAAAGATAATCCACCATGATCAAGTGGGTTTCACACCAGGGATGCAGTGATGGTTTACTATACACAAGTCAATAAATGTGACATAACACATAAACAAAATTAAAAACAAAAATCACATAATCATCTCAACACAGAGAAACACATTTGACAAAATTCAGCTTTCTTTATGATAAAGACCCTCAGCAAAATCAGCATACAAAGGACATACCTTAAGATAATAAAAGCCATGTATGACAAACCCACAGCCACATTATACTGAAGAAGGAAAAACTGAAAGCATTCCCCCCAAAAAACTGGAACAAGACAAGGATACCCACTCTCACCACCTCAATTCGACATAGTATTGGAAGTCTAAGTCAAAGCAATCAGACAATAGAAGGAAATAAATGGCATCCAAATTATTAAAGAGGAAGTCAAACTGTTGCTGTTTGCTGATGATATGATCGTATACACAGAAAACCCTAAAGACTCATCCAAAAAGCTCCTAGAACTGATAAATGAATTCAGTAAATTTTCAGGATACAAAATTAATGTACACAAATCACTAGCACTGCTATACACCAACAGCAACCAAGTTGAGAATCAAATCAAGAATTCAACTTCTTTTACAATAGTGGCAAATTAATTAATTAATTAATTAATTTAGGAATATACCTAACCAGGCAGGTGAAAGACCTCCACAAGGAAAACTACAAAACACTGCTGAAATAAATCATAGATGACATAAACAAATGAAACACATCTCATACTCATGGACAGATAGAATCAATATGGTAAAAATGACCATACTGCCATAAGCAATCTACAAATTGAATGCAATTCCCACCAAAATACCACTATCATTCTTCACAGAACTAGAAAAAACAATCCTAAAATTCATATAAAACCAATAAAGAGCCCATATAGCCAAAGCAAGACTGAGCAGAAATAACAAATCCAGAGGCCTCACATTACCCGACTTCAACCTATACTATAAGGCCATAGTCACCAGAACAGAATGGTACTGGTATAAAAATAGGCACATAGACAAATGGAAAAGAATAGATAACTCAGAAATAAAGTTAAATACTTATAGTCAACTGATCTTGGACAAAGCAAACACAAATGTAAAGCTGCGGAAAGGATACCAACGCGTGGATAAAGAAAATTATACACACACACACACACACACACACACACACACACACACACCATGGAAATACTACTCAGCCATAAAAAAGAATGAAACAATGGCATTAGCAGCAACCTGGATGGAATGGAAAACCAAATATCATGCATTCTCACTCATAAGTGGGATCTATGCTATGAGGATGCAAAGGCATAAGAATGATGCAATAGACTCTGGGGACTCAGGAGAAAGGGTGGGAAGCAGGTGAAGGATAAAAGACTACACACTGGGTATAGTATACACTGCTTAGCTGTAGGGTGCACCAAAATCTCAGAAATCATGACTAGAAGAATTTATCCATGTAACCAAACACCATCTGTTCCCCAGAAACCTTTTGAAATAAAAAATAAAAATTAAAAAATAAAACAAATAACACAGTTATAAGCATCTCTGTAAACATGTACAATTATATTTTGGGGGATATACTAAGTGGTATTGCTAGCTCAACATGCATGCAATTTTAAAAAGAGAATTACTTCTTATTGTAAAAACCATGCAGGTGGCTTTTGGAGGTGATGGATATGTTTATTACCTTGATCATGGTAATCCTATCATGAGTGCATGTATGTGTCCAAACTTATCAAATTGTATGCCTTAAACATATGCAGTTTTAAAATATGCAATTACACCTCAATAAAGCTGATTTTTAAAATGAAGAAAAATAAATAAAATAAAAATGGAATTCCAAAAATGTTTAACCCACAAGAAGACATAAAAAAGAAAACAAAGAAATAACAATGAAATATAGAGAGAAAAAAAATTTTAAATGTCAGACTTAAGTACTAACATATAAATAATTACATCAAATGTAAGTTATCTAAACACACCAATTAACACACATCAACAGAGTAGTTTGAAAAACATGACCCAACTAAATGCTGTTTACAATAAACTCACTTCAAATATAATGATACAGGTAGGTTGAAAGTAAAAGGATGGAAATATATATACCATGCAAATCTTAATCCAAAAGAAAAGCAGGAATTGCTATATTAGTATCAGGTAAAGTAAGCATCAGAGCAAAGAAAATTACCAGGTACATTATGTAATGATAAAAGGGTCAATCCACCAAGAAGACATAGCAATCCTATTTATGATTAATTGACATATTTGTAATTTTGTATCATATACATTTTAATTTGTTCAAGTGTCCTTTTGTGATGTCACAAGGTTTTCTTCATCTAGGTTATGCACATTTCTCAATCTGTGAGCACCACAATCATTAATACATGATTAATGTATTGAGATACCTCAAGGCTATGCAATTATCCTGTTTCTCGTTAATGTTTCACTCACTAATTGTAGCATTAATCTGTGGATCTTGCTTGCAGCAACTATTACTGTGATGTTCTAATGAAAATGTTCTAGTTGCCTCATTCCTCCTACGTTTATTAATTGGAATTCTTCTACTTATTCTTTTTTTTTTTTTTTACCTATATAGTAGCCCATTGTAATCTGAAATCTACTTTATACAAGCAGTCCCCTATTGATAAGCACTTAAGCTGTTTATGCCATCATAGACAACAGAATAAATTAACTGTATCCTTGTATACTACAGAACTTGTAGTTCATACCTGTAGATGTGTATCTCTAGCATTTATTTTATGTCAAGTGGAGATGCTGATCCGTGGGAAATGCATGAGTAATTTTGTTACTTACTGCCAAATTTCACTTCACAAGGACACACCAACCAGAAATATGTAATTGTTTTACCATAGCCTCACCAGCAGTGTGCACAGACATTTTGGATTTTTGCCAATCTGAAGGAAAAAAAAAGATATCTTAGCATAGTTTCCATTTTCATTTGTCTTGCTGTAAGTGAGGCTGAGCATCTTTTTATTTATTTAAGGGCAATTTATATTTATTTTTTTGTGAGTTTAGTTTCCTTTTTGTTTTTGCTGGTTTACATATTAGATTAATAGTTTTTTCTCAATTACTTCAAGAATTTTATGCATTAAAAAGAGAATAATTTTGTTTATGATTTTAATTGCATTTTTACACTTTGTCATCAGTCTTTTGACTTTCATATACTAATTTTTATTAATTAATGCATTTATTTGCAATAAGAGTTTTCTTTAATAACAAATCTATCAACTTTTTTTATAGCTTCTAGATTTTGGGTCATATCAGAAAAGTCACCTCTTCTTGGTCATAATGGAATTGTCTCATGTTTTCTTATGAAAATTCAATGGTTTATTTATTATTTTTTTCATTTTATAGTTGTTCCATTTATTTAGAGGGAGCTAAAGATGTTGAATAACCTTAGACTTTGCTATTTCTTTTTTAATTTGATAGAAAAATTATACATATTTATGGTGTAAAACAATGTCTTGAAATATGTATACACTGTGGAATGCCTCTATTAAGCTAATTAACATATGCATTACCTACCACTTTTGTGTGATGAAAACACTTAAAAATCTACTGTCTAGCAATTTTCAAATATACAAAACATTGTTATTAACTATAGTTATTATGTTGTACAATGGATCTCTTGAACTTATTCCTCTTGTCTAGCCGAACATTTGTATCATTTGACCAACATCTCCCCAGTACTCAGCCTCTGGTAACCACCATTCTACTCTCTGTTTTCACATAAGAGCTCCACATATGTGAGATCACATGGCATTATCTTTCTGTGCCTGGCTTATTTCACTTAAAATAATATCCTCCATGTTTATACATGTTGTTGCAAATGGCAAGATTTCTTTCTTTTATAAGGCTGAATAAATAGTATTCCATTGTGCATATATATATATACACACACACATACACACACACACCACATTTTTTTTTCACATTTTAACATTTCTAAAATCAGGATGAATCTTGTGATTGAAAGTGTCTGATAATTGGAGTCAGCTAGGCAGTAGAGTCTTATGAAATAGCCTTTGTTTGCATATGTAAAGGCCTTGTAATTACTCCTGATAGCATTACTGGACTACTACAAGTCCCCAAGGTGTCAGAGGGCATGCCACATACAAAACATTAAAACTAGGATTATGAGACCCAGTTGTTTTCCAAAAACCTTCCATTGACACCGTCTGGTAAGATCAAGAAAAACCCAGCATTAAAACTGCAAAATTCCTGTCAGCAACTTGGAATAAAATCCTAAATTGAATTATTAGATAATAAATCCAATAGAATTGCACTCTTAAAAATGTTTATTACCAACAGACTTGATAGACTCTCATTGTGAAGAAGTTTAAAGAATATCTTATCAATTTATTTCACTTACATTTTCCTTTTTATGTATGAATATGTGTGATTTGGGATTTTTAAAAAAACTATGTCTGAATGCTTCTAATAGCATTATTTCTGTAAATATGAAATAATTATTCTAAGTATTAACAAAGCATTCTATTATAGAATAAGGGGGTGTTTTCTTTTCTTAGTGATAAAATTATGTGCTTATAATCAATGTCATCTTAGACTCAGTTAAATATAGTACTAAGTCCAAAAAAAGACAATAAAGAGAAATATAGAATACCAAAGAAACATTGAAAAAGTCAGAAAAATATAATAAAGCAGTATCCAAAAATATTAGTAACCTAAAATAATTGTAAATGAAAAAATATTATAAATGTATCAAGTGATCCATTTAAAAACTGAAGAGTGCCAGACTGGCAATGTATTATTTACAAGAGACAGAAATGAGATGCAGTGATGTAAGAAGATTAAAAATAAATATGAAAAATATTCAGGAAAATAATATCCAAATAGGAGAACAGAGCATCCCCAGTCACATCCAATATCAGCACATGCTGGTGCTCGAGCATGCCATCTGGGAGTCTTGGGATCAGGCTGCCCTGCCTGCCCCCACCAGTGCCCATGTTTGCCATCTGGGGACTTGAGGATAGGTCTGCCCCACCCAATGTCACCACTGCCAGTGCTCCACCATGCCATCCAGGAGTATGGGGGTCAATCCTCCTCTCTCACTACAGCCAGCACCTGCATACACCATTGGAGAGCTTAATGACAGCCCTGCCTTGTCTGCCACTGTCAATACTCATGCATGTTACCAGGGGCGTGGGGATTGATCTGTCCTTCCCACCACTACAACAAGGCCTGAGGATAGGTCCACCCTACCGGCCACTACTGCCTACATGCACCTCCCTGGGGTGCATGGGCATGGGTCCTACCAACACCACTGACACCAAAACCCACCTGTATGGCCTTACCACCCACCCTTATCACCACCAACACCCATGCATGCTGCTCAGGGACCTAAGGGTTGACCCTAGTGACAGTGCTACTGTCACTGCTGATGTCATGCATGCCACTCAGGAGCCTGACGGCCAACCTGACCACCTGATCCACATCTACCACTGCTGGCATCCAAGCAAGCAACCTGGAAGCCCAAGGATCAATTGCCCTAAACCCTGTACAACTGGAGCCTGTATATGCTGCTCAGGTGCCCTAGGATCAGCAAACTCAGCTTGCTGTTGTCACCAATGGTGCCTGCGGACTGGCCTGCATGGCATCCTTGTCCCCAGCCTTACCATAGCTTCTGCTAAGAACCACGGAGTAAGCCGCTGAGGTACTCTCAGTAACCACTGACACTGATTATAGCCAAAGAAATCATACAGAGACCACTTTACCACGCCCACTGGGAATCAAAGCCAAAGTGCCCTACACAACAAACACTATACATACATCTATAGGAAAAAAAAATTTCCCTCTGAAAGCCAATTCATAACATTGGAAGATGTGACTTTTACACCAGACATGCAGATGTCCACATAAATACACAAGAAATATGGAAAAGCAATGAAACATGATGCCTCAGAAGAAACAACAATTCTCCATACCATATTCTGACAAAAAAGAAAATCTATGAAATGCCTCAAAAATAATTTAAAATAATGATATTAAAGACATTCAGGAAGATACAAGGGAACACAGATAAACAGTACAAAGAAATCAGGAAAACAATTCATGGTCTGAATTAGAAATTCAAGAGAGATAGATATCATTTTTTTTAAATCCCGGAACTACAGAATTCAATGAATGAAATAAAAAGATACCGTTAAGAGAGCTTCAACAATACACTAGATCAATCAGAAGAAAGAATTTCTGAACTTGAAGACAGGCCTTTTGAAATAACCCAGTAAGACACACGCACAAAAAGATAGAAGAATATAAAAATGAAGAAAGTGACATTTGAGACACCACAAAATGACCAAATATTCAACTTTTGGGGGGTTCTGGAAGGAGAAGAGATGGGCAAAGGTACAGAAAACCAATTTAACAAAATACTAACTGAAAACTTCCCAATTCTGGCAAGATATATAGACATTCAGATACAAAAAGCTCAAAGATTACCAAATAGATTCAACCCAAAATGTCTTTCCCAAGGTATATTATAGTCAAACTGTCAAAAGTTATACAAAGTAAGAATTCTAAAAACAACAAGAGGAAAGCATCAAGTCACATATAAGGCAATCCTCATCAGATTAACAGTAGATTTCTCAGCAGAAACCTTACAGGCCAGGAAAGAATGAGATGACATATTCAAAGTGCTGACAGAAAAAAAATAAGCTGTCAGCCAAGAATACTATTCCCAGGAAAGCTATCATTCAAAAATGAAGGAAAAATGAAGTATTTCCCAGACAAGCAAAAACTAAAGGAATTCATCAAGAAATGCTTGAGAGAGTCCTACATTTTGAAATGAATGGACAATGTCTACCATCATGAAAACCCACAGAAATATAAAACTCACTGGTAGAACTGATTCACAAAGGAAAAATATAAATGAATCATACATTACCACTACAAAAGGTTACCAGATTGTAAAGGTAAATAATAAAAGAGGGAGAAAAGAACAAATGAAATATAAAATAGTCAAAAAACAATTACCAAAATACTTGAGTAAGTTCTTACCTATCATTAACAACTTTGAATGTAAATGGTTTAATTTGCCAAATTAAAAGATAAAGACTGGCTAAAGGGATTTTTAAAAAGAAAAACAAGACAAAACTATATGCTGCCTACAAGAAACTTACTTTACATGTAAAGTCACATATAGACTGAAAGTGAAGGAATGAAAAAAAATCCACACAAACAAAAACTGAAGGCACACAGAAGTACCTATACTTACTTATATCAGACAAAATAGATTTTAGGTTAAAAATCATTTAAAGGAGACAAATCATGATATGATTCCTATAATGATACAGAAATAAATTCAGCAACAGGATATAACTACTGTAAATATATATGCACCAAGCTATATAAAGCAAATATTAGAGCTAAAGAGATAGGTAGGCCCCAGCACAGTAATAGCTGGGGACTATAATACCCCATTTTCAGCACTGGACAGATTATCTAGACATAAAGTCAACAAAGAAACATTGAACTTAATGTGCACTATAGAACAAATGGACTTAATAGATATTTTCAGAACATTTCATCAAACAGCTACAGAATACACATTTTTCTCATCAGCATATGAAACATTCTCCAGGATAGACCATATATTATATATTATGCCACAAAACAAGTCTCAACAAATTCTTAAAATTTGAAATTATATCAAGTATCTTCTCATATCAGTCTTTTAGACTGATTTCTAAAACTAGAAATCAATAACAAAAGGAATTTGGGAAACTTTAAAAATACATGAAAATTAAAAACAAGCTCCTGAATGACCACTGGAGCAATAAAGAAATTAAGGAAGAAATTAATAAACTTCTTGAAACAAATTAAAATGGAAACACAGCCTACCAAAACCTATGGGATACAGCAAAAGGAGCACTAAGAAGGAAAGAGGAAAGTTTATAGAAATAAATGCCTATATCAAAAAAACTGGGAAGATTTTAAACAACCTAATGATGCACTTCAAGAACTAGAAAAGCAAGAATAAGCCAAACCCAAAATTAGTAAAAGAAAAGAAGTAATAAAGAGCAGAATGGAACTAAACAAAATAAAGAAAAATATAAAGGATCAACAAAACAAAAAGTTGGTTTTTTGAAAATATAAATAAAATTGATAGATTACCAGCTAGACAAATAAAAAGAGAAACCCAAATAAACAAAATCAGAAATGAAAAAGGAAACATTACAACTGATAGCACAAAATACAAAAGGATCATTAGAGAATATTATGAATAAGTTATACACTAATTAACTGGAAAACCTACAGGAAAATGGATAAATTTCTAGACACATACAACCTCTCAAGAGTGAACCAGAAAGAAATAGAAAGCCTGAACAGACCAACAATAAGTAACAAAATTGAATCTGTAATAAAAAGTCTCCCATCAAAGATAATCCCAGGACTGGATGGATTTACTGCATTATGCAGACTTCTCAACAGCTACACACAACATATCAAGAGAGACTGGATATTCACACATGGGCTTTTCATTGCCTCTGCCTGGAGGTGCCATGTCTACACTTCTGATTACATTTTATTGACCAGAGCCAGTTGTAGGGCCTCATATGGAAGGGAAGAGGGATGTATTGGAGGTCAATGGAAAATTGAGTGAGCACTGCAGTCCTCTTTAAAATCCAATGGAAATATCACAGAGGCAATGAAATCAAAACTTTATCCAAGTATCGTGTAACCAATTTTGTTCGTCATCTCAATTCAGTGGGTGTGTAAATGCCAGAAAGCTATATTTTCTTCCTATTACTAATCTCAGCTGTGTGAGCTTTGTCTTCTTGTCCTTAACCCCATCTGAGCAGATCCCATAGCTTACCATCATTCTCATTTATAATTAGGCCAGTCTCATTCAGTGCAGTGTAAGACTACAGTCTGATATTCAACAAACATTTTGTTCCTTCTCTCCCTTCAATGCAGGTCAGGCTTGTGCTTGAGAGGCTTGGAATGGCAAATGTTGGGTTGGTTTCCCTTTTCGCCCTTCCTCCCACTCCTGCACACTAAAAAGAAGTCGTGGTCTGACTCTGGG
Source organism: Homo sapiens (assembly GCF_000001405.40). Lineage (NCBI taxonomy): Eukaryota > Metazoa > Chordata > Mammalia > Primates > Hominidae > Homo > Homo sapiens. Next base: position 19,629,900 of record NC_000002.12, read on the forward strand.
ATAACTCCTCCCTGGCTTTCTATGGCCTGGGTTGGGAGGGAGAGTAGGAAAGAGTTAATTGCTCATTGTTGTCGTCTCATCTCTCCTGGTTCTGGCTGTTTCTGTTGCTAACCCTAACTAGTTGACACCATCCGTGTTGCTGGTAGTGAGGCAGGATACCGCTACAATTCCCACAAAGACAAAGACCCTGATTCCCAGGCCTGTCTCCCTTGCCCTTCCCAGTTCTGTGCTTATGAAGTTGGGGGCTGGAGGAGGTAAGGATGTTGGTGATGGAAGTAGACAGTGGTTTTGCCAGCTCTTAGTAAGCTCTGCCCAGGGAAGAAATAATGGGTGGGCAGGGGTCTGACTCCATCTGCTGACATCTGTCTCTAGAACATGGGGTCAGTAACGCCTGCTGGTTTCTGTTGTGGGCTCTAGTGTCAGTTCCAGAGTCATAGATAAAATCCTATCACATACGTACCCAAGAGTCAGAGGGGTAGAGACATCTTTCTCCAAGGAGCTAAATCTAGAGACACATTTTCTACCCAGTGCAGAATGGGCATATAATCTGTTCAGCTTCACAGGGCCTTGTGCTCCAGAGGGAGCCTCCTGCTTGGGGTTTAGTGTGCTGTGGCTACCATTTTAAAATTCTTAATAGTTTTATCTTTGGATTTCTGTTTTGTAAATGATATCGGTCAAATTGCGTTCCTTCCAAAATTCATACGTTGAAGTCTTCACTCCCACTATCTCAGAATGTGAACTTCTTTGGAAATGGAGTCATTGCAGATACAATTAGTTAAACTTAAATGAGGTCACATTGGAATGGGGTGGGGCCTAATCCCCTATGACTGGTATTCTTATAAAAAAGGGGAAATTTGGACACAGACACATGAACATGATGAGAAGACAAAGGGAGAATGCCATCTACATGCCAAAGAATGTCTGAGACCACCAGAAGCTAGGAGGAAAGCCCGGAACAGATTCTCTCTCACAGCCCTCCAAAGGAACCAACCCTGTTGACATCTTGATCTCAGGCTCTGGCCTCCAGAACTGCAAAACAATTTCTGTTGTTTAAGCCACCAAGTTCAT